>NC_000010.11:90294610-90597640 GCF_000001405.40 Homo sapiens
CTCTTTTAGGGGAAGAATCATTTTTTAAACAGTTAAATGATGTCAGGATTAAATCAGTAGTATCCCATACTTCAAACATAAAACTCAGTTAAATTAAATAATGATTCAATTTTTAATACAATTCTTGAATCAAAGCAAACTGTAAAAAATGTATGCTGCCAAAAGTGAAACATCTGACATTATCATACATACTATTGTAAATTCAATTAAAAATTAAATGATTAAATATAAAACTGTTTTGTAACAATTATCCAAACTCTTGGTGGGTGTCATGGTAAAAATAATGTTAATAAATTTGGCAGATTAATATTAATTACTTATTGAATAATATAAAGTTCTTAATTCAATGCACTTGGAATTTGTTGTGGTGCATGTCAGGCCTCTGAGCCCAAGCCAAGCCATAGCATCCCCTGTGACTTGCACATATACGCCCAGATGGCCTGAAGTAACTGAAGAATCACAAAAGAAGTGAAAAGGCCCTGCCCCATCTTAACTGACGACATTCCACCATTGTGATTTGTTCCTGCCCCACCTTAACTGAGTGATTAACCCTGTGAATTTCCTTCTCCTGGCTCAGAAGCTCCCCCACTGAGCACCTTGTGACCCCCGCCCCTGCCCACCAGAGAACAACCCCCTTTGACTGTAATTTTCCATTACCTTCCCAAATCCTATAAAACGGCCCTACCCCTACCTCCCTTTGCTGACTCTTTTCAGACTCAGTCCGCCTACACCCAGGTGAAATAAACAGCCATGTTGCTCACACAAAGCCTGTTTGGTGGTCTTTTCACACGGACGCGCATGAAATTTGGTGCCGTGACTCCGATTGGGGGATCTCCCTTGGGAGATCAATCCCCTGTCCTCCTGTTCTTTGCTCTGTGAGAAAGATCCACCTACCACCTCAGGTCCTCAGACCGACCAGCACAAGAAACATCTCACCAATTTCAAATCCGGTAAGCAGACTCTTTTTACTCTCTTCTCCAACCTCCCTATCCCTCAACCTCTTTCTCTTTTCAATCTTGGCGCCACACTTCAATCTCTCCCTTCTCTTAATTTCAATTCCTTTCATTTTCTGGTAGAGACAAAGGAGACAAGTTTTATCTGTGGACCCAAAACTCTGGCGCCGGTCACGGACTGGGAAGGCAGCCTTCCCTTGGTGTTTAATCATTGCAGGGACGCCTCTCTGATTATACAGTCACGTTTCAAGGGTGTCAGACCACGCAGGGACGCCTGCCTTGGTCCTTCACCCTTAGCAGCAAGTCCCGCTTTTCTGGGGAAGGGGCAAGTATCCCAACCCCTTCTCTCCTTGTCTCTACCCCTTCTCTGCTTTTCCGGGGACGGGACATGTACCCCAACCCCTTCTCTGTCTCTACTCCTTCTCTGCTATCCTGGGGCAGGGGCAAGTACACCTCAACCCCTTCTCCTTCACCCTTAGCGGCAAGTCCCGCTTTCCTAGGGGGCAAGAACCCCCCAATCGCTTATTTCCACACCCCAACCTCTTATCTCTGCACCCCAATCCCTTATTTCCACGCCCCAATCTCTTATCTCTGCACCCCAATCCCTTATTTCCGTGCCCCAACACTTTCTCTGCTTTTCTGGAGGGCAAGAAACCCCCACCCCTTCTCCGTGTCTCTACTCTTTTCTCTGGGCTTGCCTCCTTCACTATGGGCAAGCTTCCACCTTCCATTCCTCTTTCTTCTCCCTTAGCCTGTATTCTTAAGAACTTAAAACCTCTTCAATTCTCACCTGACCTAAAATCTAAGCGTCTTATTTTCTTCTGCAATGCCGCTTGACCCCAATACAAACTCAACAGTAGTTCCAAATAGCCAGAAAACGGCACTTTCAATTTTTCCATCCTACAAGATCTAAATAATTCTTGTCGTAAAATGGGCAAATGGTCTGAGGTGCCTGACGGCCAGGCATTCTTTTACACATCAGTCCCTTCCTAGTCTCTGTGCCCCGTGCAATTCGTCCCAAATCTTCCTTCTTTCCCTCCCACCTGTCCCCTCAGTACCAACCCCAAGCATCGCTGAGTCTTTCTAATCTTCCTTTTCTACAGACCCATCTGACCTCTCCCCTCCTCGACAGGCCGAGCTAGGTCCCAATTCTTCCTCAGCCTCCGCTCCTCCACCCTATAATCTTTTTTATCGCCTCCCCTCCTCACACCTGCTTCGGCTTACAGTTTCATTCCGTGACTAGCCCTCCCCCACCTGCCCAGCAATTTATTCTTAAAAAGGTGGCTGGAACTAAAGGCATAGTCAAGGTTAATGCTCCTTTTTCTTTATCGCAAATCAGAAAGCGTTTAGGCTCTTTTTCATCAAATATAAAAATCCAGCCCAGTTCATGGCTCGTTTGGCAGCAACCCTGAGACGCTTTACAGCCCTAGACCCTAAAAGGTCAAAAGGCCGTCTTATTCTCAATATACATTTTATTACCCAATCTGCTCCCAACATTAAATAAAACTCCAAAAACTGGAATCTGGCCCTCAAACCCCACAACAGGACTTAATTAACCTCACCTTCAAGGTGTGCAATAACAGAAAAAAGATGCAATTCCTTGCCTCCACTGTGAGACAAACCCCAGCCACATCTCCAGCACACAAGAACTTCCAAACGCCTGAACTGTAGCAGCCAGGCGTTTCTCCAGAACCTCCTCCCCCAGGAACTTGCTACACATGCCAGAAATCTGGCCACTGGGCCAAGGAACGCCCGCAGCCCGGGATTCCTCCTAAGCCGCGTCCCATCTGTGTGGGACCCCACTGAAAATCGGACTGTTCAACTCACCTGGCAGCCACTCCCAGAGCTCCTGGAACTCTGGCCCAAGGCTCTCTGACTGACTCCTTCTTGGCTTACCGGCTGAAGACTGACGCTGCCTGATCACCTCAGAAGCCCCGTAGACCATCACGGATGCCGAGCTTTAGGTAACTCACAGTGGAGGGTAAGTCCATCCCCTTCTTAATCAATATGGAGGCTACCCACTCCACATTACCTTCTTTTCAAGGGTCTGTTTCCCTTGCCTCCATAACTGTTGTGGGTATTGACGGCCAGGCTTCTAAACCTCTTAAAACTCCCCCACTCTCGTGCCAACTTAGACAATACTCTTTTATGCACTCTTTTTTAGTTATCTCCACCTGCCCAGTTCCCTTATTAGGCCGAGATATTTTAACCAAATTATCTGCTTCCCTGACTCTTCCTAGACTACAGCCACATCTCATTGCCGCCCTTCTCCCCAACCCAAAGCCTCCTTCGAGTCTTCCTCTCATATCCCGCCACCTTAACCCACAAGTATAGGACATCTCTACTCCTTCCCTGGCAACCGATCACATGCCCATTACCATTCCATTAAAACCTAATCACCCTTACCCCGCTCAACGGCAATATCCCATCCCACAGCACACTTTGAAAGGATTAAAGCCTGTTAACACTCGCCTGCTACAGCATGGCCTTTTAAACCCTATAAACTCTCCTTACCATTCCCCCATTTTACTTGTCTTAAAACCAGACAAGGCTTACAAGTTAGTTCAGAATCTGCGCCTTATCAACCAAATTGTTTTGCCTATCCACCCCGTGGTGCCAACCCATATACTCTCCTATCCTCAATAGCTCCCTCTACTACCCATTATTCTGTTCTAATCTCAAACATGCTTTCTTTACTATTCCTTTGCACCCTTCATCCCAGCCTCTCTTTGCTTTCACTTAGACTGACCCTGACACCGATTAGGCCCAGCAAATTACCTGGGCTGTACTGCCACGAGGCTTCACAAACAGCCCCCATTACTTCAGTGAAGCCCAAATTTCATCCTCATCTGTTACCTATCTCGGCATAATTCTCATAAAAACACACGTGCTTTCCCTGCTGATCATGTCCGATTAATCTCCCAAACCTCAATCCCTTACAAAACAACAACTCCTTTCCTTCCTAGGCATGGTTAGTGCGGTCAGAATTCTTACACAAGAGCCAGGACCACACCCTGTAGCCTTTCTGTCCAAACAACTTGACCTTACTGTTTTAGCCTAGCCCTCATGTCTGCGTGCAGAGGCTGCCGCTGCTTTAATACTTTTGGAGGCCCTAAAAATCACAAACTATGCTCAACTCACTCTCTACATGTCTCATAACTTCCAAAATCTATTTTCTTCCTCATACCTGACGCATATACTTTCTGCTCCCCAGCTCCTTCAGCTGTACTCACTCTTTGTTAAGTCCCACAATTACCATTGTTCCTGGCCCGGACTTCAATCTGGCTGCCCACATTATTCCTGATACCACACCTGACCCCCATGACTGTATCTCTCTGATCCACCTGATATTCACCCCATTTCCCCATATTTCCTTCTTTCCTGTTCCTCACCCTGATCACGCTTGATTTATTGATGGCAGTTCCACCAGGCCTAATCACCACATACCAGCAAAGGCAGGCTATGCTATAGTATAAGCCACTAGCCCGCCTCTCAGAACCTCTCATTTCCTTTCCATCGTGGAAATCTATCCTCAAGGAAATAACTTCTCAGTGTTCCATCTGCTATTCTACTACTCCTCGGGGATTATTCAGGCCCCCTCCCTTCCCTACACATCAAGCTCCAGGATTTGCCCCCACCCAGGACTGGCAAATTAGCTTTACTCAACATGCCCAAGTCAGGAAACTAAAATACCTCTTAGTCTAAATAGACACTTTCACTGAATAAGTAAAGGCCTTTCCTACAGGGTGTGAGAAGGCCACCGTAGTCATTTCTTCCCTTCTGTCAGACATAATTCCTCAGTTTAGCCTTCCCACCTCTATACAGTCTGATAACAGACCAGCCTTTATTAGTCAAATCAGCCAAGCAGTTTTTCAGGCTCTTAGTATTCAGTGAAACCTTTATATCCCTTACGGTCCTCCCTCTTCAAGAAAAGTAGAACGGACTAAAGGTCTTTTAAAAACACACCTCACCAAGCTCAGCCACCAACTTAAAAAGGACTGGACAATACTTTTACCGCTTCTGCTTCTCAGAATTCAGGCCTGTCCTCAGAATGCTACAAGGTACAGCCCATTTAAGCTCCTGTATAGATGCTCCTTTTTATTAGGCCCCAGTCTCATTCCAGACACCGGACCAACTTAGACTGTGCCCCCAAAAAACTTGTCATCCCTACTATTTTCTGTCTAGTCATACTCCTATTCTCCATTCTCAACTACTCATACATGCCCTGCTCTTGTTTACACTGCCGGTTTACACTGCTTCTCCAAGCCATCACAGCTGATATCTCCTGGTGCTATCCCCAAACTGCCACTCTTAACTCTTGAAGTAAATAAATAATCTCCGCTGGCAGGAATATGCTGAATCTCCTCAGGCACTCTCTAATCAGATATCCTGAGTCGTCCCAATTCTTAGACCTTTTATACCTGTTTTTCTCCTTCTTATTCCATTTAGTTTTTCATTTCATACAAAACCGTATCCAGGCCATCACCAATCATTCTATACAACAAATGTTTCTTATAACAACCCCACAATATCACCCCTTACCACGAGATCTCCTTTCAGCTTAATCTCTCCCACTCTAGGTTCCCACGCCGCCCCTAATCCCGCTTGAAGCAGCCCTGAGAAACACCGCCCATTCTCTCTCCATACCACCCCCTAAAAATTTTCGCCGCCCCAACACTTGCAACACTATTTTGTTTTATTTTTCTTATTAATATAAGAAGGCAGGAATGTCAGGTCTCTGAGCCCAAGCCAAGCCATCGCATCCCCTGTGACTTGCACGTATATACGCCCAGATGGCCTGAAGTAACTGAAGAATCACAAAAGAAGTGAAAAGGCCCTGCCCCATCTTAACTGATGACACTCCACCATTGTGATTTGTTCCTGCCCCACCTTAACTGAGTGATTAACCCTGTGAATTTCCTTCTCCTGGCTCAGAAGCTCCCCCACTGAGCACCTTGTGACCCCCCACCCCTGCCCACCAGAGAACAACCCCCTTTGACTGTAATTTTCCATTACCTTCCCAAATCCTATAAAATGGCCCCACCCCTATCTCCCTTTGCTGACTCTCTTTTCGGACTCAGTCCGCCTGCACCCAGGTGAAATAAACAGCCATGTTGCTCACACAAAGCCTGTTTGGTGGTCTCTTCACACGCATGAAAGTGCAAATGTAATTTACATTTGTATTTGAACAAGCTGATTAGCTTGATTAGCCTGATAGAAATAGAAGTTGTCAATATTTTATTAGTAACTTATAATTTATAGAATTATATAATTTATAGGTATATAATACAATTAGAGCAATATCTATTATTTTTATAGTTTGTGTATTGCTCTGATTCACCCCATACACACAATTAGAGTAACCAACCTAAATAATTTTGTGATGAAGCCAATGATAAATACAATGTAAATTTCCTCAAAATAATAGGCAATCTCGCTATTCCCAATCACCAAAAGGATTTTTTAAATGTTGCACATTAGAAGACCTACTTTAAAAGTCAATCTAAATGCCTTATAACAGGAAAAACTTCTTTCATAATTTTTTGATAAATTTTGCAAATTTAAAAATGTTACAGTATTTTATTGTAAATTTGGTACATTTTGGTATACCTTATTGAAAATTATTTGGGAATGTTCACTTAAACCATTCAACAAATGAACCACCACAAAATGTCAGACTTTGAAGCTTTCAGCAAACAGGAATTACTGAAAACAAAGCTTTCAAAGGGAAAGATATTGAAGTTTATCCCAAAAAAGAGAGAAGCTGAACTTGTTTTTAATGAGAATTCAAATAATATACAAGATTTACCTTTAATTTTCAATCATTTTACTTTTGATATTTTACTTTGTAAGAAAGTTATTTTAATAGAGCTTCTATGAAAATAGATAAATTTGTGTATAAATTGTATTTCGAACTGGAATGTAATGTAATTGAGAAGGCGTATTGTTTTTAGCATACACATTGGGAAACATTCTCAAGAATTATAATTAAAGGTGACTGATTTTATGAACATTTTCTCTTAAAATGTACCCTGAAAAGTGGCAAAAACTACTGCAGCTATGAAAATATTAGGGTGAAAATATTTACATGAAGGGGTGGGTTGCCCCTCCACACCTGTGGGTTTTTCTTGTTAGGTGCAACGAGAGACTTGGAAAAGAAAGAGACACAGAAACAAAGTATAGAGAAAGAAAAAGGGGGCCCAAGAGACCAGCCTTCAGCACAAGGAGGATCTCACCGGCCTCTGAGTTCCCTTAGTATTTATTGATCATTATTGGGTGTTTCTCGGAGAGGGGGATGTGGCAGGGTCATAAGATAATAGTGGAGAGAAGGTCAGCAGGTAAACACACGAACAAAGGTCTCTGCATCATTAACTGGGTAAAGAATTAAGTGCTGTGCTTTAGATATGT
Organism: Homo sapiens; assembly: GCF_000001405.40. Taxonomy (NCBI): domain Eukaryota; kingdom Metazoa; phylum Chordata; class Mammalia; order Primates; family Hominidae; genus Homo; species Homo sapiens. Next base: position 90,301,972 of record NC_000010.11, read on the forward strand.
ATATACATAAACATCTCAATGCCTTGAGCAGTATTGCTGCTTGCCTGTCCCACCTCCAGCCCTAAGGTGGTTTTCCCCTATCTCAGTAGGTGGAATATACAATCGGGTTTTACACAGAGACATTCCATTGCCCAGGGACGGGCAGGAGACAGATGCCTTCCTCTTGTCTCAACTGCAAAGAGGAGTTCCTTCCTCTTTTACTAATCCTCCTCAGCACAGGGTGTCGGGCTGGAGGATGGTCAGGTCTTTCCGTTCCCACGAGGCCATATCTCAGGCTATCACATGGGGAGAAACCTTGGACAATACCTGGCTTTCCTAGGCAGAAGTCCCTGCGGCCTTCCGCAGTGTTTTGTGTCCCTGGGTACTTGAGACTAGGGAGTGGTGATGACTCTTAACAAGCATTCTGCCTTCAAGCATTTGTTTAACAAAGCACATCTTGCACAGCCCTTAAGCCATTTAACCCTAAATTGACACAGCACATGTTTCAGGGAGCACAGGGTTGGGGGTAAAGTTACAGACTAACAGCATCTCAAGGCAGAAGAATTTTTCTTAGTACAGAACAAAATGGAGTCTCTTATGTCTGCTTCTTTCTACACAGACACAGTAACAATCTGATCTCTCTTTCTTTTCCCCACATTTACATATTTTAGTAATTTAAAAAATAGAAGTGATAAATTCCTCATTTAGGAGAATGTGCTCTAAACTTACCAGGTAACACAACCTGCAGGAAGAATATCTTCTCAGCTAAAAATTGTATGGTACAGTGAGACAAGTGCATTGGCCGTTTACAAATTTTACATTTATCAACGTAAAATGCAATTTTGAAGAAGTGGGCCTGTTCAAAGGACACATTATGCAATTGTAACTTCTTATGGGAAAATTCATCCTACTGTGGCTGGGTTCAACAAGAATCTGAGTGAGAACCCAAAGCAGTGAGCACCACTGAGAAGCATGTGTTAACAATACTAGCCTCCTGTTTCTGTGTGGAAACAGCGCTGGGTACTGCTAGTTCTTGTCTTGAGAGTAAGAGTTGAGGACAACTCTATAGAGAAGTGTGAAGTCGTCAGAAGTAAAATGAAGTCACTTGCGTTAGGTGAAGAAAAAAAAAAAAAAAACCCTGACAAATAAAGCCGGAGAAGGCCATGAAGAGAGCATTCTCATGCACAAATGCCTGGAAACATGAACTATCACAAAAGAGTCTGACCTTGTACAAAGGCCACATCATAACCTTATACACACATAAAAAATATTTCTGCAAGGACACCAGCTCAGTAACTGCCTGTCCGACCTTGGACTGGCGCCACCCTTCTTAGTGATCCTCCTAACCCAGGATAATTATCTCAAGACAATTATGTAATCCTCCTCATTTTTCCTTAAAAGCGTTTGTTTTCCTATCTCTCTGAATATGCACATAGCTTACTATGGCATGTGTATTTCCATTGCAATGCCCTATTCCCAAATAAACATCATTTTCTGTTAGAGAGCCTCTCCCTCTTTGTTATTTAGGTTGACACAATACATTAGATTATTTTATAATTTAATAATATAGCTATCTTCTATTTGTTCTTATTTTGCACTAGGCATCACTATGGTGATTTGCACAATTTATTTCAATCCTGACAGTTAGGTATTCTCATTTTTGTAATTAAGACTGACAGTCAAAGAGGTTATGTAATTGCCTAAGATTATAAATTGGAAAGTGAAAAAACCTGGGCTAATAAGTAGGTCTGTCCCATTTCTCTCTTTTCTCATAGACTGCCTCTCTACTGAAGAGATATTTGAGTGTGGTTAGAAATGTCTCTACAGGGTACAGGTTTTATTTTTCATTTTTAAATAATGCTGATACTTAAAAAATTTATTTGTACATATTTATGGCATACAAGTGCAATTTTACTACATTGATATACTACATTGCAGTGAAGTCAGGTCTTAGTGCATCCAACCCTGGAGCAATGTACATTGTGTCCACCGAGCAACCTCATAATCATCCACTCCCCTCTCACCCCCTCACTCCTCTGACTCCCAATTGTTCATCATTCCACAATCTCCTTCCATGTGTACACGCTATTTAGCTCTACTTACAAGTAGAGCTAAACATGCGGTATTTCTCTTTCTATAATGCTGACATCTCTTTATGTATCATATAATCTGGTTAACACTGCTGGACATGTGAACAGAAATATCTTACTATTACATCAGGCTTTAGTGACCAGAGGTCTTGGACCAAGAATCATTGCAAACTATGGGCAAACTGTGTGCCTCACAGAACACAGAAGGCAAGGAGTAAAGAGTTATACCTATTTAAAAGAATAGGTTAAAAATATAAAGTATTTAAAATAAAAATAAAAGTGTTTAAATAAAAATATAAAATTGTGTACTGAAACATAAAATATTTTTAATTTTATAGAAATATAAAGTATTTGAAGTTAAAAATATAAAAATATAAATCCTAATATTTTCTCCAACCCCACTTTTGGAGACTAGTGTCTCATGCAGTGTAGTTACAAATTCATAGTCTCTATGGGAATTAGGTTCTGAAGTCAAAACATAAGTTGAACATCACAGATAGCCAAATTACCCTTAGAAATCACTTTAAAAACAATGTTTTGGAGATTAATAAAGAATATCTCCAGTTGATGAATACACACACAAGTTCAACATAGCTAGTTTGTTCTTTAGATTGAAAAAAGTATTGCTTCAGTTGAGCAAGTTATAAAGTAGTTGGCTTAGGCTTCAGGATCAGATTGTGGAAAAAATATGTGTTGAACATTATATCACGCCAAATTTTTTGTGATACTCATACAATGTGCTTTGAGAGATAGGAGGTGACTGAGAATAAAGAGTGGAAGAATAGATTCAAGTATCTCATCTCACATTCTCACCAGGATGTGTGGCTCATTTAGTGCAACAGGAATGTGCCCATCTGCTTAACTTATCTCTCTCACAGTCTCTCTCTCTCTCTTTCTCTCCCTCTCTGTCTCTCTCTCTCTCTTTCTTTCTCTCTCTCTCTCCATACTTTTATATTTTTCTCTTACACCCTTAGGTTTCTTATAATTGAATTCACATAAATTAAATGCAAGTCTGCAGTTACTTCTTTGCATAACAATTTTTCTTCTTTCTCCTTATCAGCATCACCTGAAATACAATTTATCACCAGCCCTTCTCCAGCTCTACCTCTCCAAATCTACCAGCAATTCAAGATTAATTTCAAATTCAACCCCCACCCAAGAATTTGCAATTCACATATGTTCCTGTCATATCTGAATTATCATTATGCCAATTTCCCTCCTGTTTCACTAAATTAAATACTCATATCAAGGATATTTGCCTTATCACTCCAACAGTTTAGGCAGGAGTGGCATTTTGGTTTATAGCATCAGGCAGAATGGTAAGAACAGTATAGGTAGTGAGAATTCTGGCTTTAGTCCTGGTATCTCTCTAACAGGTTATGTAAGCTCAGTGCTGTTCCTGTGGTACTTCTGATTTTCCTCTTTCTGGGTACACAGTAGGATTGTCCTCCCTAACTTGCTTGGAATTAGACAGGTTCTGTAATTTGCTTTGGCTGATGAAATGTGAGCCTTTCACTTTGAATTGTATAATTTGCTTTTCCCTGACCTCTGCCATGCTCCAGAAAGTGAAGCCTATAGCAATCTGCTTCTCTTTGTGAAGACAACCTGGAGCAGAGGCCCTGACCACTCAAGAAAGACATTTAACATAAACTAGAAATGGATCATTTTTATTAAACAATGGCAATTTTAGGATTGTTTGATACTACAGCATAACCAAGCCTATCCTGTGTAATATGCAGGGAAATTCTATTAACTGCAAAGTAGAGAGAAACTAGATAGTTTGCTTTAAATATCTCATCAAATTTTTACAGGAATCAAAAATATAAAGATGCATGTATGTAAAGATGTAAATAATAAATGTAATGAAAATTCAGAAAATCATTAATAATAAAATATCAAAACCGTCTTAACTCATATTATGTTTATTATTTATTTCTACTTATGATATTCAGTATGATGATCTGAGCTTTGTTTTTTAATACTGAGCTGTTTCTTTTTATATTTCTTGTACATAACCTCTTTAATTTAATGACTATTTATGAAATTGCTAACTATTGGTAAGTAACAGTATTTCAGAGATTTGGTGGATGTTTCAGAGATTATCTCTCAACACAAACAACTATGTGAGATCAATTTAAACTACTCTGGAGCAAGGTATGTATGCAAATATTCAGAAAAAATAAATGTCTATGTAGTAAACATTCTGTGTAAGGAAAAGAGAGTGATATAAAACATCTGGCCACACATCAGGGACATAACTCAACTCCCAGTGAGACCAAATCTGTTATATAAATATATGTTTTATTACTCATGCTTTTAAAACAACACACAACCTTATGACCTGCATTTGTCAGGATTTCCATTTAGTGGAATGGTCACCATGGTGACAATGTGAACTGGCTGATTTGTATATGCTTTCTCATCTAGCGCTGAATGACCAGAGTAGACCACTTGACAGCTGATGTTTTCAGTTATAACAACATATGTGCACCACAGAGTTCATGGAATTGTATCTCAGCCAGTCTGAATCAGTTGATATGGTAGCCAAAATGACTGGTTGACCTCGCTAAGGACCCAGGTATTTCAGGTATCTTATAAACCAGAGTGGACTGATTTAACCATATGGTTAAATGGCATAAAAAAAAAAGTGGCAGTACACTGTCTATGTCCAAGGGTCTTACATGGTAATTGGCAGCAAGACAGACAATTGGGTAAGATTTTGTAGACAATGAAACAGGCATCTACGTTAAAAACTAGATAAAACTGGATAATCATTAATTTTTATGTTTTTATTCAGCTATTTAATCTGATGTAGACACAAAATAAATTTTTCATTTGTGGCAATTTTGAAGTAGAAAAATGAGTATTGCCTTTCTTCTCTTCACCTATAACTTGGCTTTAAAGTTTATCTCAGTAAGAGAGTAGAGATTTTTATGCATGAAATTGGCAGGTAGAAATCGATCAATAAATATTCGTTTAATGAATGAAAGAAAAACATACTAGTAAGCATTTTTAATAGAAAAAATTGACTAAAATATTAACTAAAATGTTTTTAGTTGACAATTCATAAAGCATAATGGCAAGAACTTAATTTTCATGACAATCTAGTGAGAAAGTTTATCACTATCTCAGTTTTATAGATAAATAAATATGAGGTTTACCAAGATTATAGAATTCAGTCAAAGACAGAGAATGGGTAAGTGGCAGATTAGAATTTAGTCTGAATTTTTTAATCCTAAACCCCATGCCACCTAAAATTCAATATGATGCCCATTGTAGTAGATGAATTCAAAATAGTTCTAAGAAAAACAACAAGGTGAGGTTTGATCCATTTTCTTCATTGCTGCTTCTGTAGACTTGAAGGGTTTGTTGAATAAAGAAGTGTTTAAAGTTCCAAATGTCAAAAACAAAATTTTAATAATTTGAGAAGAAAATATATGAAACTATTTTTACACATCATAGAAAGGAAGAATTTAAGTGAAACACACAAAAAAGGACAAACCATAAGGAAAAGACTGGTAATTTTTGACATTAAAATTAAATTTTTATCAGGCTGTAGTTGCTGCACAAAACATACAGAACATAAATAAAATAAAATGTTATTTATGACAAAGGACCAAAAAATGAACTTAAAAGGCAAGTTAGAGACTGAAATATGCTATTTGCAATGCATACAACTAAAAAGGATTATTATTCTAAATATTTAGGGAAATTACACAACTGAATAATCCAATAGAAAAGTGAGCAAAGGGACAGAAATGTGAAACTATGGCTAACTCCAGTGAGAATTAAAATAAAATTATAATAGGATATACAGATTTAACCAATAAAATATAATACCACTTCAGCTATTTTGATAGCAGCCTTGAAAGAAGCACTAACCAAGAAACAATGGCATCCATTGAAGGCAGCCAACTCAAGACAATCTTTCAAGTAGACAGCTGAAAGAGGTGGCCAGGAGTGGTGGCTCACACCTGGAATCCCAGCACTTTGGGAGGCTGAGGTGGGCGGATCACGAGGTCAGCAGTTTGAGACCAGGCTGGCCAACAAGGTGAAACCCCATATCTACTAAAAAAAAAAAAGAAAATTAGCCAGGCATGGTGGTGGACACCTGTAATCCCAGCTCCTCCAGAGGCTGAGGCAGGAGAATCACTTGAACCCGGGAGGCAGAGGTTGCAGTGAGCCGAGACCATGCCATTGCACTCCAGCCTGCGCGACAAAGCAAGACTCTGTCTCAAAAAAATAAAAATAAAAATAAAAATAAAGAAAGAGTCATCTCACTCCCCTACCTCATTTGATCTCCTGCCAAGACTCCTCTCTTGCTGAACCTAAACAGAACTCGAGGAATTTGAACCCGTTAATACATTCCATATGGCAAGACTGCCAGCACAGATAGCAGGTTGGGAAGGATAGAGATTACGTCTGGAGGAAGGAATTAAAGATATTTGGCATGGAGGTTCTGATGTTTGGTGGCCAAAAAGCCGTTTGACAAATATCCTCTACAGGTCTTCATTTAAAAATGTAAAATATGCTTGTGTGGGAAAACTATTTACATTTTTTAAATGGAAAATGAGACACTTCTTTTACATTCTTATAATAAAAGTACAATTTTAAACAGATATAATAAATTCGTTTTTTGATTCAAGTGCATAAATTATCTTTTTACTGGGAGCACACTTTACAAAACAGCATATCCTTAAAACTAGGTTATAAAAATGAAGAGCTTTTAGCAATACCAATTTTAAAAAATCTTTTTCACTCTTGCAAAAAGAATCCTTTAGGGAGTAGTAGTGTTTTAAATAAAGTTTTCTGAAAACGTTCTAGAATAGAGAAGTATATTTCCACAGCAAAAGAAACAATTAAAAGATCAAACAGACAATAATGGGAGAGAATATTTGCAAAATTTTGCCTCTGACAAAAGACTAATATCCAGAATCTACCAAAGACTCAAACAACTCAACAAGAAGAAAACAACCCCATTAAAAAGTGGGCAAAAAACAAGAACAGACATTTCTCAAAAGAAGATATATAAGCAGCCAATAAACATAAGAAAAAATGTTCAATATCACTAATCATCAGAGAAATACAAATTAAAACCACAATGAGATATCATCTTATACCAGTCATAATGACTATTACTAAAATGTCAAAAACAACAGATGTTGGTGTGGATGCAAAGAAAAGGGAACACTTATACACAGTTGGTAGGAATGTAAATTATTTCAGCCTCTTTGGAAAACAGTATGGAGATTTCTCAAAGAACTAAAAATAGAACCACCATTCCACCCAGGAATTCCACTACTCAGTATCTACCCAAAGGAAAATAAATCATGATATAAAAAAGACACCTGTTCTCATATGTTTATTGAACATCAAATAGAAAAGTCATGGAATCAACCTTAGTGTCCATCAACAGTTGATTGGATAAAGAAAATATGGTATACATACACCATGGAACACTATGCAGTCATGAAAAATGAAATCATGTTCTTTGCAGCAACATAGATGGAGCTGAAGGCCATTATCCCTAGTGAAATAACTGAGAAACATAAAGCCAAATGCTTCTTGTTCTCACAAGTAAGAGCTAAACAATGGGTACATATGGACATATAGAGTGAAATCATAGACCAAAATAGCTGGGGGAGAAGGGTGAGGGTTGAAAAATTACCCATTAAGTACAATGTGCACTATTTGAATGATAGGTACATTAAAAGCCCAAACCCCACCATTACAAAATATGCCCATATACAAGGACTTCATGTCTAAAACACCAAAAGCAATGGCAACAAAAGACAAAATTGATAAATGGGATCTAATTAAACTAAAGAGCTTCTGAACAGCAAAAGAACCTATCATCAGAGTGAGCAGGCAACCTACAGAATGGGAGAAAATTTTTGCAACCTACTCATCTGACAAAGGGCTAATATCCAGAATCTACAATGAACTCAAACAAATTTACAAGAAAAAAACAAACAAACCCATCAAAAAGTGGGCAAAGTATATGAACAGACACTTCTCAAAAGAAGACATTTATGCAGCCAACAGACACATGAAAAAATGCTCATCATCACTGGCCATCAGAGAAATGCAAATCAAAACCACAATGAGATACCATCTCACACCAGTTAGAATGGCCATTATTAAAAAGTCAGGAAACAACAGGTGCTGGAGAGGATGTGGAGAAATAGGAACACTTTTACACTGTTGGTGGGACTGTAAACTAGTTCAACCATTGTGGAAGTCAGTGTAGTGATTCCTCAGGGATCTAGAACTAGAAATACCATTTGACCCAGCCATCCCATTACTGAGTATATACCCAAAGGACTATAAATCATGCTGCTATAAAGGCACATGCACACGTATGTTTATAGCAGCACTATTCACAATAGCAAAGACTTGGAACCAACCTAAATGTCCAAAAACGATAGACTGGATGAAGAAAATGTGGCACATATACACCATGGAATACTATGCAGCCATAAAAAACGATGAGTTCATGTCCTTTGCAAGGACATGGATGAAACTGGAAACCATCATTCTTAGCAATCTATCACAGGGACAAAAAACCAAACACCGCATGTTCTCACTCATAGGTGGGAATTGAACAATGAGAGCACATGGAGGCAGGATGGGGAACATCACACACCGGGGCCTGTTGTGGGGTGGGGAGAAGGGGGAGGGATAGCATTAGGAGATATACTAATGCTAAATGATGAGTTAATGGGTGCAGCACACCAACACGGCACATGTATATAACCTGCACATTGTGCACATGTACCCTAAAACTTAAAGTATAATAATAATAAAATTAAAAAAAAATGCCCATATAACAAACCTGCGTATGTACCCCCAAATCTAAAATAAAATAAAAAATTTTAATAAAGAAAAACAGACTAGAGAAGTATTAACATATTTATTCTCACTGTTCTACCAGAGTATTTATAATTAATTTACACTGTTTTTGACCTCTAAAAATAATAATCTAAAATCTAAGAGTTCATTTTACTCACTTGAATATTCTTTTCATTATATTCTAATGGCACTGAAGAAGCACCTACACAGCCTGGTTCTCTCTGGACTTAGAAGAAAGTGTGTACAATTAAGTCCAGTGAAAGTATTTTCAACACCTTTCAAATGAGTTTGGAAATGTATTTCTTTACTGTATGAGCAAGTAGTGTTTATGTTAGATAAGATATCCCAAACTGTTTAAATAGATTATGTTGTCATTATTAATGGTTAATGGAATTCAACTATTTATCCATCAGTCACATTTTGAGTGACATCTATGTGTTCTAGATGTTTGGGCTACATTACTGTGTTATAGAGAAAGATTCTTGTGCTCCTGAATCTCACATTCTAGTTGAGTCAAACAATAAATAATACACATACTAAATACATAATATACATGAGTGTTAGAAATTGATACCCGCTACAGAAAAAAAAAAGAAAAAGTAGAGCAGGATAAAAGGGATTGGAATATAGAAGCTTTTTTGACTCTTCTCATTTTCCTCCTTTTTTTGTGTGTTGCATAATATTTGCATTGTAAGAAGATATAACCATTACATACTATGCTCTATTTTTTATCTACTATAGTATTTATTCTGTAAGTATATAATTGATGCTCACCATCAGTTTATTTCATTCACATTGATTGTCTGAAATTTGTTTAACTCCTCAGAGAGGCAATATAGCAACAATATACCCTAATTCTTGCATGTTGACCACAGGTATGCCACGTATACTCAAAAGTGAGTTTTGCAAGGTATAAAATTTTTCCTTGAAATTGAAAATAAATGAACCTGTTGTGTTCTGGTAGAGATTGTTGTTTTCTAAAAGCCTAATAATAATCTTATTTTTGTCTTTAAAGCCCATAGTAAAATTTGTTTTGCTGTTGGTTGCTGTAGGCTCGTGTTTTTAGGTACACAGTATGATCTTTCTAATTGTAGTTACAGGTCTTTTATATTTAATTCAGGAAAGTTTTTTTGAATTTTAACTTTTAGTATTTATTCTTTTCTGTTGCTTCGGTGTTTACTTTAAGTTTGTCTATTATTTGTATGTTGGATTTCCCTTGTCTGTCTTTAATATTGATTACTTTCTCTTGATTTTTTTATTTATTTTTTCTTTCTTTATAAATATTCTTCCTTTTATACTCTATTTCCATTCTTATTTGGTGTGCTTATTAATTACTGTGTATTTTTAGTCCAGTCTTAATTTCTAAAATGATTTTTCATTTTATTTTATTCTTAATTATTAATTATGAATTTTGAGGTATTTTATTTTATTTATTTTATTTTATTTTATTTTTATTTTTTGAGACAGAGTCTTGCTCTGTCACCCAGGCTGGAGTGCAGTGGCACGATCTCGGCTCACTGCAAGCTCCGCCTGCCGGGTTCACTCCATTCTCCTGCCTCAGCCTACCCAGTAGCTGGGACTACAGGCGCCCGCCACCACGCCCTGGTAATTTTTTGTATTTTTAGTAGAGACGGCATTTCACCATGTCAGCCAGGATGGTCTCGATCTCCTGACCTCGTGATCCACCTGCCTCGGCCTCCCAAAGTGCCAGGATTACAGGCGTGAGCCACCGCGCCTGGCCATTTCTGGGTATTTTAAAATTCAGGCGTATATTGTTCTAAAAGTCATATCATTTTAATAATAGCTTTTAGTTTGCTTTGAAGTACGAGGTAACAGTTTTAATGTATTTTATGTTATGCCTATTTGGTATGCTTTCACTATCTATGGGAATATTATTTTGCTTTTTATTCCCTTTTTTCCTATAGTAGTTTTTTATGGGACTTGGTTTAAATACTTTCTATTAGACAATTGTATTTTTAGTTAGTTTTCCTGGATTTTTAGGAGATGTAATAGCTTTTATAATTTAATAGAATTCCCTTTTCTGTTTTAATGTAGTGTGCAAAAATATGGTGGTTTGCTTTCTGAAGTTTTCTAGCTCTGTTTCTCTCTAGATTCTTACCTTTCTTTTCTCTTTCCTTTCTCTCCATCTTGTTAAATTTCGATTCAACCCACAGCAACTTCTCTTCAATGTTGAGCCATTTCTTTGAAGGGAGCCCTCCCTGCTCAATGTCAAGAGTTCACAGAGGTGAGACTACTCAAATTTCTTTAGACTTTACTATGAGCCCCTTATGTTTCTCTATTCTCAGTGGTCAAAATCCTTTTTAGCTTTAGACATTATTCTCAAATTGGCATTCCATGCTTTTTGATGAGTACCTGAGTTTGAGATTCTTTGTTCTTAGGTCACTCAATTTTTCAGTTACTCCATTTTTTTTTTCTCTCTGTTTCTTCCCTCAGAGATGCTAACACTGAATTTCTAGAAGTTATTGATAAATTTTGGTCACAAACTTGCACACTGGGTTTAGATGGAATGCTATTTTTAAAAAAAATTCGCATATTCTTAGCTTTGTTATCTAGTTGCTTTGTCAATGGGGATTGGGAAGTTCTTAATTTAAAACTATGCTTCTTCCACTGCCCCAACTTCCTAGAATCCCCTTATCTTAACTTTTGAGATTGGAATATGTCTGCTTAAATTTTTATCTCATGAATGATTTGAAACCATTATCTCATTATCTCCAGGAAACCTTGGAGTCCATAAATTACCATAAGAATTCTCAAGACAGATAAGTATCTACAACTATAAAATGACAAGCTTTTCTGTTTAGGGTATCATGCTCAGTAATTTTTCTTAGCTAAATTCTTGCCAAGACGCAGACCTTCTGTAAGCTGTTTGGAACCTGAGAGATCAATGCTAGGTATTCCTTTGGTAGGCAACTTTTGGTATCAACTTTTCTATCATATACCCCAAGTCATCATTTTTCTCAAACCTTCTGTCTTTTAATATCACAGCAGGATTATCATTTTTAGAATGGTCTTCCTTTAAGTAGTTATCACTAATCCCATCTGGACATAAAAAAGCTAAAGATATTCAGGGAATTGGCACGCTTCCATGTCTTCAAATGGGCCACTTACCAGGATTTCACTCTCTAGTGCCTCACAGCCATACGAGATATGAGATTTAGATATTATTAAGATAGCATTTTAAAGGGAATCAATGAATCATCATATTTAGCCAATTACTCACTTTTTTATTACCCTACAATTTCAGGCCAATAAACCCCAATGACTGACTTCTCTAAGATATAGACAATCTTATTAATGAGTCATTGCCTAATACCCTGCATGATTCAAGAATATCTTGAAACAACAATTACCTAGATATCCAAATCCAGCAAGATTAAGGGACATTTTAAAAATAGATACAATTAGTGTTAAGGCACCTAATTAAACAGATTTCTATTTGGGAGTAAAAATGTCATTGAATTGGCTGTGGTGCTACCGTAATTAGTCATTTAAGCTGCCAAAGCAAAGTGAAAGTCCAAGAACTGATAAGCTTTCTAATAACACATGTACTCTATATTTTTCCCCAGAGATCAACATCAATTTCACTGAGCAGGAGTTTTCAGAATCCATTAGATTCTTCTTTTTTGAAAACTCAGACAACATCAGCATTACTCTACTATTCTATCACATTTCTGGCTAGTCAGAATTTGTCAGAGAACCAGAGGCGGTTCCTTCAGAAATAGTGCAGTTTAAATTTTCAATACCTTATGGATGCGGAAAATATTGGGGCAAAACTAAAACAAAAGGAAACGGTGAAATGGCTGTAAAGGTGCTGGTTTCCATGCAAAAGTAGGAACAGAGGCTTTTATTCCAACCTACTATGCTTACTTTCATTTTGGTGACTTTAGCTAGCATTCCATTCAAAACATGTTTTTTCAGTTTGTGAGCTCACGCCTAACTATTCCTTTCCCCATCACTTCTCTACCACTCACTCTCATGGTTACTTACTAGAGTTCATCATTACAAAAAGTGGCACCACTCCATAAGGGTCATCTGCCACTTCATTTTTAGGTAGTATTGATTCAGTTCCTCTGACTGGAGAGGTAGGAATTCCTCCCTCCTTCCCTGCCTCAAGTAAGTTCTAAGTTTAAAATTCTTTATTTATAAGTACTTAAAGCTTCTCTTTCATTATCAAGTCAAGGAAGACCATGAATCAAATATATAGTTTTCTTTTTAGAATAACACTATACATCAATAATATGTTATAAATGCTCATAATAAATATGAAATGCTAAAAAATTTCTGAGTTATAAATGGAAATTGCAATCCTTTTTAAGTAATTGGGCTTCCTTGGATGTATGTTTTTCATTATTAATATATAAGATGAAAATAAATATATCTTAAATTGGAATGAATTTAAGGTAAGGAAATTATTATTCTTGGGGGTAGAAGGATATTTTTTGAGGTAGTTAAACCAACCCTTCATCTAAAAGCATAAAAGGATTCGATGACAACTCTTTGGGGGAATAAGACAATGGATAAGTCACCCCAATTTACAATGATGCAATCTCGGCTCACTGCAACCTCCGCCTCCTGGGTTCAAGCAATTCTCCTGCGTCAGCCTCCTGAGTAGCTGGGAATACAGGCACGCGCAACCATGCCTGGCTAATTTTTGTATTTTTTGTAGATTCGGGTTTTGCCATGTTGGGCAGATTGGTCTTGAACTCCTGACCTCAGGTGATCCGCCCACCTCTGCCTCCCAAAGTGCTGGGATTACAGGCGTGAGCCACTACACCCAGTGTACACAAGCCCTCTAACTTTTATCAGTCTTTATAGAATTTAATGTCTGATGATACAATGCATAAATTATTTTATTGTTTTATTTTTAAGCATCTTTTAATATGTAATTTTCACCTAAATTCTTGAGGACAGACACAACTTCTTATTGTTTTAAAAATTTTTTCTTTGGCACTTAGCACTCTCCCTGGAAGATGGTAGGTGCTAGATAAATATAACAATAGCTACGCTTCCTAATACAGTTGGTAGTAAACTAGGTTAGTGGTTCCCTGACCTGTGTGTATTAGAATTACCTGGGTAACCTAAAACAAAATCAGGTCTATTGAATCTCCAAATAATCCATAGATACTGACATAGCTTATCCACTGCATTAAACATGGCTTAGTGCTCTATTAGATGTTTTATTTAAAAGGTATTTAATATTCTTAGCAACCGTATAAGGTAAATGTTAACAGCTCTATTATGCAAATAACAGTAACAGCTAACATTTTCTATATGTTTATTGTATACCAAAGTTCTAAGTACTTTTCATGCATTAACTGATAAGAGGAAAAAAAAGAAGTGACTTGCCTGAGACCTGGAAGGAAACACGTGAAAAAGCCTGAATTTGGACTCATTTTTTTTTTTTCAACTCCAGAACTTTTTTCACTGAGTCATGTTGTCTTCCAGGAAATAAAATTATTTGTTAACTCATGGCAAACTGTGACATTTTCACATTAGTTAAAAGCATCCTAGTCAAACTCTTTCCATTCTGTCTTCTGGAATTTTTACTCAGGGGATGCTCATCTGCCCAAAGCCTTCTCAACCCATCTTTGAGGTGACTTCAAGGCAAATGCACAAGCAGAAGCTGGCTCAGACTTCTTTATTTATCAAAACCATTGAGGCCAGCCACCTGGATTACTGGTCTACACAAGCCAAATGGAAGAGAAGAAGTGAATAGTCCCTCAGTGAGACAAATAACTAGTAATAAATACCTATCAGGGAATAATAACAATACTATCTTCTATTACAGAAGCCATTTTACCCTATTCTTAATAATTACCTTATTTTCTATACTTACCAGAGCTAAGCTTAGAGAAAGTTCTGTTCTTTATATATATTTTTTAAATTTTCTTATCAGTCACATTTCAGCTATGCTGTGTGAACAAATGTAGACTCTCTCTCATATCTAATGAAACTTTCATTTTAGAAACATTAACTGGAATCATAATTACTATTTGACCTTCTCTGCATGCTCCTCAAATCCCCTGACGCAAAACAAAATCCAGAGGTTCTTGTTGAAGCCTGAATTATTTATATGCTAAAAAGGAAGGTGTTTAAATGGTATGGCCAAAATGGGCACTTACCTTGGAACTGTCCAGGACACCAGATATAAAAGGAAAGGTCCAGATAAAGCACGTGATAGTAAAAAACTTAGAAATTTGGAGCAGAAAGCCTTGGGTTGTGGAACCATTTCTGGCTCTTACCAACTGATACAAAAACCTCCAACATGTAAAGCCTCAATTTTCTCATTTGCAGAATGGGAATAATGGCACAAACATGGTAAGGTTGAGGTGAAGATTAATGAAATGACATACACGCCTCCCCAACAGGCACCAGCTCACTGATCTCAGCATGCAGCACTTCCTCTCAGCCCACTGGCATGCCCTTCCTCTGCAGGGAAGTGGGGGCAGAATGATGTTTCCAACCTTGTGCCTAGTAACTCTGCAATGCGCAGCCTCTGCCACCCACACCCACTGGCATAAGCTCCTTGGGATGTCTCTCAGGTAACTCAGAGTTCTAAAACTTCAGACACAACCTTGAAGTCCTGTAAATGCAACACAATGGCATAGCGTAGGAAAAGAGAAAAGAAATGAGATGTATCTAATAAATGTGTGTGGGCAGAGAGGTAGGCAGGCATTATCTTGAAGGAATGAAGTCTTAAGGGTACAGTTTTTCTACGTCTCATTAATATTCTTGATATTCTAAACATCAGCCTTACTTTTTTAGTAAATAAGAAAGAATAAAATCATGATTTGTTCACGTTAGCATATCTCACATGCTGTATTTCCATTGAATGGCTTGTGTGCAGGGATAAAGAAGCATAAATAACTTTAGATCTTGAAATTCCATATATTTCCAGTTCCAGTAATAATGCTAATAGCATAGTAGAATTTTATAAAACATTTTTCATATGTATTTCTCACTTAATCCCATCAACAACTTTCTGACATGGACAAGAAAGTTATATCATTATTGTCCTCATTGCATAAATTAGGAAACTCTGACACATCCAAATCTGTTAGATTATGCTGTGCAATGAACCCCAAACTCAGTAGGTTACAATGACAAGGGTTTATTTCCCACTCACATAAGTGCAGTTGTAAACTACCTTTGACTGTGTCCTACATCTTCTTGATTCCAGGATCCACACTGAAGAAGCAGCCCTTTCTCCGTTGTATGGCAGAGAAAAAAAGAGCAGTGCTGGAACCACATATGGCTCTTAGAGCTTTTGCTAAGACTTAGCATAAAACACTCTGTTTATATTTCTTTCACTAAACCAAGTCACATATCCAAGCCTGTTGCTAGAAGCAGGGGGAGTATAATCCTCTTATAGGGAACAGAGAGGAATTGGGAACAACAACTTGCATATAAAGGTAAGTATCAGAGCTGGAAATAAAGCTAAGATTTTCTGATCTTTAAATACAATACTGTTGGGCCTAGCACACTCTTGCGGTGAATGAGCATAGCAGGTACATATAGGCAAATTATGAATTAGTTTGTAATTTTTAATTTCAGAGAAGATATGCAGCTGACGATAAAATTTGAGGGTCATCAGAGTACAAATCCTTCGTAACCATGAGACTAGATTATTTGTAGTTTATGGTAATAATAAAGCCAAAAGTGTGACCTTGGAGGTAAATGGGTAAACTATGGTTGAGAGATAGATTCTTGAAAGATAGAGTGTCAAGGAACTTAGAGATTAAGACATTGAAAGGATCATCGACATGAATATTAAAAACCACCAAAAATGATGGCAATAATAGAATTGGAAAGAGTTCATTGAGCCAGGCTCTAAAAGCTTTAGGCAGTGAGAGAGTAATCTGGGGATCTGAAGAGGAGCACAACTAGAAGGACCAGTCGGTGTTCTAGTTGGATGACCTGTTGTGTAAAGCTCTGTGTGTGTGTAGCAGTAGCAGGAAAGGGGAAGTCAGGAAATGGGAAAGAGAAGTGGTCTGAAGTGGTGATGACAAGGAAGGCATATAACAATCTCCTTCAGAGACCAGCAGCAAGAGGGTTTTAGAGAGAAAATACCCTCCACTTAGGGGTTCTACAAGGAAAGCAGTGAGCTTAGGGTGACCCAGTTTTTAGCAAGATGGCAAAGGAAGCATTCAGAGAATAGTCTGAAGATACGGGAGATTTTGCTCCCGATTGATCTTGAGTCTAAGAATTTACAGTGGAAGGGTTTCAGAGCTTGAAGTAGCATGGGCGATGGATTAGGAGTTATTTGTATGAAGTGACAGGAAGATAAAAATCTGAGGGATAAAGGATGACCTGGGAGTCTGGGCTGCTCTGGTGATTCGAAGCAGAAATCAATGGCACCATGAGCTGAGCCTTGATGGTGCTGAAGCAGGTGGTAATGATAAGTCTGTGAGTATTCATGAAGGAGAACATGTGGGTGTCTGAGTCTCTGCTGGTGTGGAGTCAAAGAAAAGGCCAGGTTTTATCTGCACTGGCCAAGGCTCTGGGGTTTCCTTCTCATTACTGTAGAAGTCACTGCATATCCTATTTGTATTTTATCCCCAGTGCCATCCAGTGCACAGAGATGAAGCTCAGTAAATGTTTGTTGACTGAGAACAGTCCCTGTTTACGATAAACTAATAATAAACATTTGTTAAATTTGAAGACTGGAAATAATGTACATGAAACAATTGTGAATAACTTGGCATGTCTGTGGAGTTTTTCATACCAGATGCTGTTAAGCTTCGCATGGCAGAATGATCTGAGAATGAGTCATCACTGACTCATGGATCCAGCTTGTTTCACCTGCAGCGCTCACTTTAAGTCACAATGACCTTTTCTGACTACTTGTAATGGCAGCACAGTGGGGACTGCAGTTCCTGGAGAGTGCACCATTAATAGAGTAGTTAGCCAGTACTGTTTTGTTGTCCCTCGGAGTAAAAGGGAAAGTGAAGCAAGAGAACAGAGATTTAATACTACATATTTTTTCACTCAATTGAGAAATACAACTGAAAAAAAATATATATCCTTATAAAACTTACTGTTTTAAAAGCGCAGTCCTTGCAAGTTGATTTGGGTGTTTTCAGATAGTGAAAAACTTTTAAAAGATATTAAATTATTACTTTTACTTATGAAGAATAAAAGGTAACATAGAGACATAGAAATCAAGAAATCCTCGAGTATTTTCTTTAGAAACACCCCGATTAGAGAAGGAGTTTCCGTTTTTAAGAGAAAATTAAACCAGATGACCTTAAGTCCTTTTTAACACAAGTTTGTATTAATACCAATTAATAAATTAATCAGATTTGAAAGATTTGTGGACAAATGCCTTTATAACGTTCTTAACTGATATGGACTGAACTGTATGCCCCCCCTTTCCCCCTGGAATTCATATCCTAAAGCTGTAACTCCCAGTGTGACTGTATCTGGAAATAGGGTCTTTAGAAGGTAATTAAGGTTAAATGAAGTCATAGGGAAGGATCCTAATCCCGTAGGACTGTGGCCTTAAAAGAAGAGAAAGAGATGTATGAGTTCCTTATATATTTTGGATATTAAACCTTTATCACATATGTGGTTCGCAAATATTTTCTCTCACTCTGTAGGTTGGCCTTTCATTTTGTTGATTGTTTCCTTTGCTGTGAAGAAGCATTTTACTTTTATGTAGTCCCGTCTGTTTATTCTTATTTTTTGCTTTTTTGCCTGTGTTTTTGGAGTGATATCCAAAAAATCCTTGCCAAGGCCAATGTCAAGGGGCATCCCCCTGCCCCATCCTTTTTTTTTTTTTTTAGACAGACAGGGTCTTACCCTGTCACCCAGGCTGGAGTTTAGTGGAGCAGTATCACAATCATAGCCATGGCATCAGACTCCTGGGCTCAAGCTATCTTCCTGCCTCAGCCTCCCAAGTAGCTGGAACTACAGGCATGAACATATAAACCTCCTAGGAGTTTTACAGTTTCAGGTCTTACATATTCCGGGCTGTGGGGGAAATGAGGAGATGTTGGTCTGGTTGAAGAGTACAAACTTTCAGTTCTAAGATGAATAAGTTCCAATATACAGCATGGTGACTATAGTTAATACTTTATTGTTTATTTGAAATTTGCTAAAAGAGTAGACCTTAAGTGTCCTCACTTCTCTTGGACAAACCAAAAGTGCAACTATGTGTGGTAATAGAAGTGTTGATTAATTTGATTGTGGTAATCATTACACAAAAATATACGTATGTCAAATCATAATGTTGTATACTTTGAGTATACAAAATTTTTATTTGTCAATTATACTTTAATAAAGCTAGGAGGGAAAAGAAGATGAAGAAAGAAAGACTTCTCTGTCTTCACCATGTGAGGACACATCAAAAAGGTGGCCGTCTGCAAGGCCCTCACCAGACACCAACCATGCTGGCACCTTAATCTTGGAATTCCAGTCTCTACAACTGTGAGTCATCCAGTTTAGGGCATTTTATTATGGCGGACACCTACCCACCTTTCTAGAAATGATGCTTGTTTGTTTCTGAAGGAATAATAGAATCATAACTTATTATTGGTTAGGAGCTGAATTCTGAAACATTGTACAACAGTAAAAAATTTGCCATGGAAATATTTAATTATTTTAAGAAATATTAAGAGACATTAAGATCCTCCCTCAGACTGCTAACGTCTCATTGGTATGGACTGTGCTTACTGGTGCATCACCAGCATACTGAGTGAATGAGCAAAGGCATCCAAAGAATCAGCTGAATGGTAAGGGATTGTGAAATAAGAAAAATTCTGAATAATATGTTGCCTGAAGAACTCACATGAAATTAAACTTTTAGCTTTCTTCAGCAACCATGTTCATGTTGAGTGTGGCTCAGGATATCAAAAAATATAAAACTCATTTGTGTTTTTTATTTTTCTGATTTACTACCAAGGAACAATTTTCTAATTTACTACTAAGTCAGTATCAAGACTATTTCCCTTGGATCAATAAAGACAATCACATTTTAATGCCATTGTAGATTTAGGTACCTGAGACTTAGTATTACCTGCAAATAGATGTCACCACATAAAAAGGTTGATTGCACACAAGCAAATGTAAGTATACTAAACAGCACCAAAACTGATCCCTAGTCATCCCCATGTTACTTTGACATTATTCTTATAAGTTTATCATCTAAACTTGTAATTTTCCCTTCAGTTAGCGGAGCTTGTAAGAAAAGTCATAAAATGTTATAACTATTATTAAAAATGAAAGGGAAAATTATTTTTTAAAAAACTCAGTCTGTTCTCTAGTCAGTTGGTGAGAAATCTGGCCAAAAGGATGCAAAGTCGGGCTTTCTGAAAACAGGAGTTCATCACCTTTCCAAAAGGCCAGCTGAGGAAATGTGTTTTTTTATCCTCTTCCATAACTCTTGATGGTACATTTTTGCACTGTATTAAGCTAGAAAAGAAGACCTGGACTAACTGGATCTCATGAATGTGTGAACTTCGTATTTAAAAAATACTAGCACTGAAAGAATCCATCTTAGTGTCCTGGACCATCCAACTAGAAATAATCTATGACCCTCGTGTGATGAATTGATAAATGTCTGCCAAGCTTTTTGTTAACTCCTCTTCACTATTCCTTTCTTCTTGAATCTGAAGCTCTTCAATCTACCATTGTCTTTGTACAATTTCCTCCTTTCTAGGGAAGGCAATGTAGAAAGCCAGTAAAGTATTATTTACCAAGCTCTAGAGTCACAACAAGTTTAAGTCCCAGCTCATCTACTTAAAACATAAATGATCTTGGACAGTTATATTTCCCCTCTCTATGGCTCAGTTTCTTATTTGTAATAGGGAAGCAATCATGGTGCCTAATCAGGTTGGGTACCAGGTTGCTAGATGGATTAAACACAATAATATAGATAGTTCTCCTTGCCTACAGTAAATGGTCAAAATGTTAGCCACTACCATTTTATTATTGCATTTTAAGATTCTTGTAAACGGGGCCTACTAACCTACTTTTCTCAGTCTTGTAGCTTTTTCCCTCCTATTTCTAAGAATCTTAGGGGAGAAGAATTGGCCTGCTTCCCCTCTAGAAATTTTTATGTCAGAAAACTATTTCTTTTTACTCCTCAGCTATCTGTGCTTCTCCTCACTTTTTCTTGCAGTATTTCAGTTTTGTCTTAGTTTTTTCTATAATCTCCTCCCACAAAGCCAAATGGTTTTCATCTCTTTTTTCTAGGAAAAGCTTCAGCTCCCTGTATTCTGTTTCCTTATAATCTGAGGATCTTCTCTGCACTCATCTGCACAGATGTTCTTTGCATAGATCTTTCTCTCTGTCCCTGTCCCACGTGGCCATGCGTCAGGGCAGACTGGGTTCCCTTTGTTTTAGTTTAAGGGTCCTGGGAAATTTTCATACCTTAGCCACTTTGCTCCTAAATGTTACAAACAAAATTTATATTTATCTATTGAATTTACAGCAGCCATTGATAGGTCCTTACCCCTTCACCCTTCCACACATTTTTGCTGCCTGCTTTTTCAGCTTTGTTTGAAATGATTCTCCTGCATGCACATGCTCCTCTGAATCTACTGTCTGATCAACTTTCAGTTTCCCACAGATACCAGTCTGTCTCTGGGATCAGGGTCTTCCCACATGTTCATCTCATTGTCTGGAATTTTCTTTTCTTTCTTATTCACTTGATCAATTTTTATTCATCTTTTTTATCTCAACTTGGATTTTGGGAAACTTTTTGTAAACTCTCAGGGTTTTGATTTTATGTATTCCGTGTATAGTGTGCTTCTCAGAGACACATTTATTAAAATTAAATTATATATGCACTTATTTGTCAAATGACTGGCTCCTCTACCCAACTATAGGTTGGAATTTTGTTCATTGATATAACTCTAGCACTTAACACAGGTAGTAGATACTCAGTAAATGCTCAATGTATGAATGAATGAATGAGTGAATGGATGAATGAATATGTGATTTGCAGGCCCCTTCCTATTACTTCTCATGGTATGATACATACCTTTCTCTGACTAGTTCCTCTACCAAAGCTAACCATTCTATACTCCTAAATGAAATGTGCTAGACAGAGGGTTCATCTTGTCCCCATGCCAGAACTTTATATTTATACTTTTCAGTACAAACTCTTCTTACTTGAACTCTCAGAGATTTGAAATATCTTTGTAATCAATTCCCAATACAAAGCTATTGATTATTTTATTTTTAGTTTGCTCAGAAGAACCACATAGTCTCTGTCCATTAGGAGCCTCCCCAGAGATCTCTCTGGCTGAACAGCTGTTCTCAGTGCCTGTGAAGTAAGTACCAATTAAGCAGGATGATTGCTTCCCTACTACAAATGGGGAAACTGCGCCACAGAGAGGGAAAATAACTTGTACAAGATCATTTATCTATTAAATAGATGAGCTGGGACTTCAACTCATGGCCAATCTCCTTTTGACAATGTTCTCTAAATAGCCTTTTCCTCTCACTGCAACTCCACAATGTTTTTTATTTTCTTTTTTAAAAATACTCTGTTTCTTTATGAATCTTGCTGAAGATGGGAGAGGCATGTACAGGTGTCCTTCAAATCTGCTTCTGCTGCCTTTCTCCTGTCCCTCTCTAGTAGGTAGTTTGAGATTTAAGCCCAGAGTGCTTTCATTACCTTCCTGCCTACCTGCTCCACTTCCTGGGCAGGTTTCCTGCTTGGCAGCAATTCCTCCAATTGTAGCTCTTCATTCTGTTTTTAAACATTTCTCCATGCAATCTTGATTATTCTTATGGACTATGGAGGAAACACTTTTGACCCTTATGATAACCTGTGAAGTCAGTAAGCATCAGGATAAAATTGGGACCTCTTAACAGACTCCTGTACTCCAGCTGAATCTCCGGTTTGGGCTTACAATTTCTTCTCCTAATATGTTGGTGATACATGTTTTGGTAGAGAATATTATTCTCAAAAATTGCTCCATGTGGCTAGGCACAGTAGCTCATACCTGTAATCCCAGCACTTCGGGAGGCCAAGGTGGGAAGATGGCTTCAACCCAAGAGTTCAAGACCAGCCTGGCCAACATGTGACCTCATCTATGCAGATAATTTAAAAATTAGTCAGTCATGGTGGCATGCATCTGTAGTACTAGCTACCCAGGAGGCTGTGGTGGGAGGATTGCTTGAGCCCAGGTATTTGAGGCTGCAGTGAACCATGATCACACCACTGCAATCCACCCTGGGTGACAGAGTGAGACCCTGTGCCCCCCACCCCCAAATAAAAGGCCCCATGTGAATTTTCAATAAGAAAACCATTTAAAGTGAGTAAAGGCCAAATTTCTCAAGGGATTCTGACTATTTACATCCATGGAGAGAGAATACTAGAGGCCAGTCTTAGTCTGCTCATGCTGCTATAGCAAAATACCTTAGACAGAGCAATTTTTTTTATTTTTTGTAAAGATGGGGGTCTATGTTGCCCATACTGGCCTCAAACTCCTAGTCTGAAGCACTCCTCCCACCTCAGCCTCCTAAAGTACTGAAATTATAGGCATGAGCCACTGCACCCAGGCTTGGGTAATCTTTAAAGAACAGCAATGTATTTTCTCACAATTCTGGAGGCGGGGAAGTTCATGATCAAGACACTGGCATCTTGGGAGGACCTTCTTGCTGCATCATCACATGTCAGAAGGCAGGAAAGGCAAAAGAGACAAATGTTATGTCCTCACATATTAGAAGAGCAAAAGAGCAAGTTAGCTGAAAGCTGCACGAAACCTCTTTTATAAAACTCTTTATTGGCCGGGTGCGGTAGCTCATGCCTATAATCCCAGCACTTTGAGAGGCCGAGGTGGGTGGATCACCTGAGGTCAGGAGTTCGAGACCAGCCTGGCCAACATGGTAAAACCCCCATCTCTACTAAAAATACAAAAATTAGCCAGGAGTGGTGGCATGCACCTGTAATCCCAGTTACTTGGGAGGCTGAGGGAGGAGAATTGCTTGAGCCCGGGAAATGGTGGTTGCAGTGAGCCGAGATCGAGCTACTTCACTCCAGCCCAGGTGACAGAGCAAGACTCCCTCTCAAAAACAAAACAAAACAAAACAAAGCAAAAAACACTCTTTACTCATGAGGGACAAGTCCTTATGGCCTAGTTACCTCCTCTTAATACCATCACACTGGCCATTATGTTTCAGCATCTGAGTTTTGAAGGAAACACATTAAAACCAAACAGAGCCTGACCCCACATATTCCCCCCAAGTCCTGTCTTATTGTAGCCTGGTGTGACCTTTAGTGGAACCAGAAGTCTTGGTGGTCAGCCACTTGAGCCAGCTAGTGGTGCAGCATTGTGGCCAAAAGAGGGAAGATGGAGAAAAGGTTGAAGAGAAGCTGAGGAATGAGGACTAAAGTGAGAATAAAGTAGGGGTATTCAGCAAAAAGGAGTGAAAGCAGCTGTGTAGAGCTGAGGCTTGGAGAGTTGAGAAAAGGAAAAATATTTCTGTGAATTACAAGTTGCCATTTTGAGATGTTAAACCAATACTGGAATTTCTCTTTAATTATATTTGGTTGTTAGACTGTGTTATTTTAGTGAAATGCTGTGCATAGGCTGGATCACATTAAGATGCCAGAGGTTTTTGGGTTTTTTTGTGTTTTTTTTTTTTCAGGATTTCTTTTCTTTCCTGTGATTTTGTATTTAGTTATAATACTCAGTATGCTTCTGAATAACAAATCAACACAGATCTGTGCCAAGGACTTATTTTCACCATGACTGTCTGACTACTGGACACAGGATACAAGGGAGTAAGGCTAAATTAGATGTGAGTCATAATGGTTCTTGGAATATAAGTACAAAGTCAGTGGGGAGCAAGTTAAGAACTGATGCTGGCACAGCATTATGCAAAATTGCAGACTTGAAAGGAGGATAGTTTTTAATTTAAACTATATAGATCCTCATTATCCTAAGACTTCAGAGTCCTTTTAAAATGACAAGAGGAAATCAATGCCAGACCTCCTTGGAAGGGCTTTAAGTTACTGCTACGCTGTGCCAGTGGAGGCAGGTTCCCCTAAGGACTGGGCTGTTATTGTGGAACTTCAGTGAAACAGTCATATAATCCATGGGTACAAACTTTCTTCCACCAGAAACTGAGGAAGTTCTTAGGAAGAACTAAGCCAGAGGACAGAGAAAATAACTTTGAGTCATGGTTCAAACATGCCATTAATAAGGTACTGAGATTTAACTCCTCAGTGGCTGAGAAATGCTTATGCCAAGTGTTCCCAGCCACCTAGTCATGAAGATGATCATTGCTGTGGAGAACTGAAGCATTTCTTAGAACAAGGGTGTGGTGGCAGACAGTGCCTCGGACTCACAATACTAACTTATGACCAAGTATCAGTGGACAGGGAAGACTTGCTACATCTAAGTTTTCAGAGAGGGAGAACTCCAACAGTGAATTCTCCATCAAGGCTGTAAAGTGATGCTTAGAGTATCAAAGCCAAAGAAAACAAGCATATAAACCAAAAAAAAAAAAAAAAAATGCTGGAACAAAATTTTTAATCAATGGTAACCCAAAAAGATCCTGAAATTCTCCCTGCGATTGAAGTTAATCAGGGCCTGGGATGAAAGAAGGATTTTATGTCAGTACTTTCAGAATGAGGCAGAATAATGGCATTCTTCTTGGTGATGGCCAAGAAGACCCAGGCAGCCAGGATGATGCAGGAAGTCAGACCTCTTGAAGTCAGGCTTTCCCTCTCAAGCAAGGTTCAGGAACATTAAGGAAGCTCCCTTATCCCAACAGAGGGATAGAATCCTGGAAGCTTTTAAAACTGTAATTGAAGACTGAATTCTGGGACTTTCTTCCAATATGGTTGTGTTGCTATAATCATTCCTCTTGTATTTCATCTCCCATTGCATGATGAAACAAGCTAAATAATCACGTGCATGCTATCTGTAATTTTAGCAGTTGGAGAGAGCTCCGCCTTCAGTGAGAGCTGTGATAAATCACTGGTAACTTTCTGTTCATGAGAGGTAGGGAAATTATTCTTCGCTTCTCCAGGGTCACAAACCTTTGAGAACAGAAAATTGAAATCTTCAGCCACCATTTTTACCTGCAGGAAACTCTCCGTTACCTAAATACACAGATTGTTAAAAAGGGCATGATAAAACATGAGAACTATGCTCTCTTGGGTTTCCATATGCTTAGCCCTAGGAGGGGCGATGAAGGGTCAGGGAAGAGGGAGTGACTATGACCTCCTGCGATCATCCCAGGATAAACCTCAGCCCTCCAATGGCAGCAGAAGTAATGAAAGTCTGACAGAGATCAAAAGAGGAAAGGGGAAACTGTTTGTGAGAAGTTGGAGTCTCAGGAGAGGCCTGAGCTGTCTTAAAGGATGCATAAGAGTTGTCAGAAAGAGGATACCGTGGCCAAAAGCATGAAATAAGTAGTTTGAAATTGCTAGAAATTAAAGTGTATACACGGAAATTGCAAGAGATGAATATAGCAAGGTAAGCAAGGCCACCATTAGAGAATGTGAGATATTGACCAAATATATTTGAGGGCTCCTGACCAGTGTATTGGTTAAAACTGTATTACAAGATTGATGGACACATACAAAGCATAGTGATTTATTTTGTATTGTCAAATGCACCATTCCTAGCTATTTTCATATTTCCTACTGCAATAAAAAGGCATCAGCACTGTTATAACTACACAATGTCATGGCTTTTCAGAACCTGTTTGTATGAAACACTACAGGCTTTCTTGCCTCTGATGTTCCCTAATGCCACCTATTTAATGCTGGTTACATCATTAGTCATGATTCTGCATCATTCTCATGCTGCCTGTGGATACTGGCTTCCAATGACTCTTAAAAGCTTTTACTCTGCTTACTTGATGATAACTACAAATGTAACTCTTGCAAAAAAATGTGAAAGATAATTTTTTAGCCACAATAGATTTATCATTTAGAACGTTATGGTAGAACAACCCACCTTCCTCCCATTATTCTCTTGGACTCTTTAGGCCATTACTATGGCATTCCTAGAATGTGACTTGTGTATGCAAATTGCACACCTGTGTCCTGCACACTGCCACAGAAAGGAAATATAGGAAAGGGGGCAGGCAGGGGAAGAAGAGTAGTCTCATTTGCATAAGTAATCTTTGTCCTTCATCCAGCTCAAGACTGACCTAGGAGAACACAATGTCACCACAGGGGTGGAGATAAGAAAGACATGGATCAGCAGGGCCTGTTGATGCTGCCATTTGTAAAAGCCTTCTGATCAGACAAGGGCAGCCACTTGTAGAGAATGAACTGACATATGCCATGGAGCCTGTGGAGGAGGTGGGATGCCAGCAGTGATAGACACACAGGGAAAAGAATATCCGCCTCCACCCCACCACCTTCAGTTGTTATAGACCAGAGGAAGCATCACAGTCAGGACACAGATGGGTGAGAGGCAACATGGGGTTCTACATATATAACTCAAGCATCATCCATGGACTGTCAGTAGCCCAGATCCCTGAACTCATCCTGTGTCTAACATGAGGGCAGTAACTCAAAATGAACACATCAGCATCCTTTTTGTGGCTCATTTTCATACAATTATGCCAAAGAAGTACCATACTAGTCCTTGAGCTCCTTAGGGTACCTGTTCAACCTCATACGGGTAGTAGAGGGTTGGAGAGCACCTTGAAGAAAAGAAATATGGACCAGGGCCTACATAGGTCTCAATCTGACCTCAAAGTGCCTCATCCAGATGGTATTTCCATCCCAGTTAGTCTCAAGATTTTCATGAGGAGAATACAGAAAACTTCAAGGAAGGTGCTCTAAAACATGGTGGACCTCCTGAATCCTAAGCCTAGGTCAGGGCTCTTATTTCACCTGCACGCCACCTCTGAGATGGAGCAGCATGGACAGTATTGAAGATAAGCTAGGGACAGCTCATGGAAGACCTTGTAATGCCATGCTCAGGAACTTAAATTCCATCTGCAACTTAGTAATTCCAACATGCCTTTTCTTTAATGCAATGAATGTTATTAGGAAAAATAAAGACATTCTGGTCAAATATTAATAAGTGGGAAACATGGGACATCTCATAGCCTTTAATACATTAATCTGAATTTTAAATCTTCTAAAAGTAGATAAACTGTACATATTTGGTATAACTTTGCCTTTAAAAATAACACATGAAATCATTTAGTTGTTATGAAGTACATTCCTTAATTAGTATTCCACAGAACACACTTTGGAAAAAGCTGCAATAGACATGAGAGTCATTGCAAGGGTTTCATGCATAATAGATTTTCATTTTAGAAAAAAATGGTTTAGGCCAGGCGCAGTGGCTCACGCCTATAATCCCAGTACTTTGGGAGACTGAGGCAGGTGGATCACGAGGTCAAGAGATCGAGACCATCATGGCCAACATGGTGGAACCCTGTCTCTACTAAAAATAGGAAAATTAGCTGGGCATGTTGGTGCGCGACTGTAGTCCCAGCTACTCGGGATCCTGAGGCAGGAGAATCGCTTGAACCTAGGAGGCAGAGGTTACAGTGAGCTGAGATTGAGCCATTGCACTCCAGCCTGGTGACAGAGCGAGACTCGGTCTCAAAAAAAAAAAAAAAAAAAAAAGGTTTAGGAAAGCAAATGGTTAATGGATAGAGAAGAGAATAGGAAAGACCAAGAGAAAGGCAGTTATTGTAAGAATTAGTCAGATGATGATGAGGTCTTACCTAAGCCAGTATTAGCAGTATGTGGAAAAAAAGCACATTTCCTGGATAAATTAAGCTATATACATCTGGCTAAAAATAACTAAATGAGGAAAAGAGACATTTAATTATTTCAGGCTATTGAGTCTCCCACTACAATCAATGATAGCAAGCCCCAGAATGTATGTGAGAATGTATTTTTGGAGTCTTAGTTATCAAGTACATTTTACTTACTGCCAACTGGCCTCTCTGAGTATGATTCTTGTATTTAAGGATTTTTACTTTTTCGTGAAACATGGCCTTTAAACAAAAGTCAACCACTTCATTTGCACTCAATATGTTCTGTTGCTGCAGGGAAAGCTGGTCATGTTGAACTTACTGAGAGACAGTATGTCAGACTCTGATGTGATGATTTCCTAAGGTATTCTCAAGGATGCTTTTGACCATATGTAATTATTCTCCTTTGAAGATGACTTCAGCATCCACTCCCTGTGTAGGTTATAACTGTGATCCCAGGTAGGACTGATGACCGCATACTTCCCCCTTTCTCTCTAAATCTATTCACTTGATTCTCCAGCCCCGGCTACAAAAATATATTTGCATCCTTTTATAAGAGAGAGTTTTAATAATCTCTAGACAAAAGTAGAAGCACCATGGGCATTAGAAGCTGAAAGGACTGAGATTTTATGGCTTTTCTGGGAATATCAAACACCAATAAAACCAGCCCACTCAATTTTTGAATAATAAAACTGAAATTCAGAGAAAGAAACTGACCAAATCTGATCCAATATGGCAGAACTGAAAGGTAAACCCAAATCTTTAAGAGGTTTTAATCTCTAGAGACTATTTATCTCTCTTAGGATACTCCAGAAAAGGCTTTTCTTTCTTTTTTTTTTTTTTTTTTTTTTTTGAGACGGAGTCTCGCTCTGTCGCCCAGGCCGGACTGCGGACTGCAGTGGCGCAATCTCGGCTCACTGCAAGCTCCGCTTCCCGGGTTCACGCCATTCTCCTGCCTCAGCCTCCCGAGTAGCTGGGACCACAGGCGCCCGCCACCGCGCCCGGCTAATTTTTTGTATTTTTAGTAGAGACGGGGTTTCACCTTGTTAGCCAGGATGGTCTCGATCTCCTGACCTCATGATCCACCCGCCTCGGCCTCCCAAAGTGCTGGGATTACAGGCGTGAGCCACCGCGCCCGGCCTGAAAAGGCTTTTCTTGAAAGAGCAAACATGTGTTATGTTATTTTCTCTTAATTTCAAAGGACATGCAAACTTTAGCTGTGTGGAATTACATGGTACAAAGGCATAGAACCTTCATATGTATCTCCTATATTTTAAAATGCCTCATTTTTATCTTCTTCAATATAGAGTAATTCAATACAAACAGAAAACAGTTGCATTTTGAGAAGTTTGTAAATAATTTGATTTTCCTAGAAGTTTAACAGAAAGATTCATTCTACCTATAAATGTAAAGAAGGTTGTTCCTTACTCCATAAACACTGGCATACTCCACTTTATCACAAAATACCAGGGGCCGAGTCTTCAATATTGCAGTCCTTTGTAGCTAACCGCCTGTATGGACATTTAGTTACAGCCAAAGGTATTTGTTCTTCATTTGACTGGATGGGATCCTGAGCCCTTTTGACTATTGGCTGATGTAATTACAGAGCTCTCAACTTTCTACCACAGGAGCCCCTGATGATGCCTAAGAAGAACTACAGCAAAACATAATGGGCTATGAGTTGAAGAGGAGGGTATCCTGGTGCCTCACTGGTGATGGCTTGGCCAGCCAGGTTGACATTCCACACCACTGTTAAAGACAGGTGCCCATCAGAAGCAGCAGGCCTTCTGGGAAACTGAGGAACAACAGCTGCAGAGGCTGCAGCAGGGCAGCAGCCACAATGACACAGTGTTGTTCAAAGAGTGTGGTGATGTTGGGAGTGATAGAGGGAAGGCAGCACGAAGTGGCTTACAGGAGGGAAGTCAAAAGGGGTGGAAAGCCAAATGCTGCTGACCAAAAGCTGGTGGTGGCACTGTGGTAACGCAGCAATGCCAAGCACATCATCTGTAGCAACCTTGTGGCCCATAAAGGTGATCTGCAGAAGAACAAGATCCCAAAGCTATTGGGTGGCAGGAGCACAAAAAAGACAAAGCTAAGTAACCAAACTTCATCTTCACCAGAAGCTTCAGACTGCAGCTAGGGCATGTTGGAGGAAATGGAAGTTAGAGAATAACAGAGCATAATCCCATCTGCCTTTTTTTTTTAATGGACAGATGAAATTGTATGAATTTACTGTGTACAACATGATGTTTTGAAGTATATATATATATATATGTTACAGAATGACTAAATCTAGCTAATTAACATATTCTTTACCTCATACAGTTATCATTTTTGTGGTGAGAACACTTTATATCCACTCTGTTAGAATTTTTCAAGAATGCAGTATATTATTTATTTTAGTCACCATGTTGTACAATAGATCTCTTGAACTTATTCCTCCTATCTAACTGAAATTTTGTATCCTTTGACCAAAATCTCCCCAACACCCACCAACCACCCAAGCCCCTGGCAACCACCATTTCTACTCTCTACTTCTATGAGATCAACTTTTTAAAATTCCACATATGAATGAGATCGTGTAGTGTTTGTCATTCTATGACTGCCTTACTTCACTAAACAATGTCCTCCAGGTTCATCCATGTTGTCACAAATAACATGATATCCCTTTTATGGCTGAAGAGTATTCAATTGTGTATATGAACCCCATTTTCTTTATCCATTAATCCATTGATGGATGTGTCTATTCACCCGTTGATTTCATATATTGACGATTGTGAATAATGCTACAATAAACATGAGAGTGCCGATATCTCTTCTATATACTAATTAATTTCCTTGGGATATATACTCAGTAATGGGACTACTGGATCATATGGTAGTTCTGCTTTTAATCTTCTAAGAGACTTTCATACTGCCTGTATTTTAAAAGAAATATGTGTACATGTTTATGCATTTGCATATATATGCATGAGTGTAAGGGGGTATAGATAGATTGTATGAGCATAGGAAAACATTTGGAAGCATATTAATCAAATTATTTACTATGATTATCTCTAGTTGAAAAAGAAGACAGGTGGAGGAGGGCACTCTCTTTTCTTAATTATACAAAAAATGGGTTGACATCCATGGCAGTAGCAATGGATTTCACTTTTTTTTAAGTGTTTGTTTATTTCTATACATACATTTCCAAAAGTCTAACTCTGTGTTGCAGCTCCATTTAGTGGGAAGTTAGAAAAAACTTCTTCATATGCGTCATCCTTATTTTATAACTCTGCAAATGGGTATATCCTTCTGACCCTGCAGAAATATGAAGCTCAAGGGCTTCCAAGAGTGTCCCGTACTTGGGAAAGTAATATGATGAAAATATGATATTGGCTTTTTCCTTTTATTTTCATCAAAAAAGAAAAAAATATACTTGAAACATCCTTGTAGGAAAATTGCCATTCCAGAAGATATGGGAAAACCTTGTTATTTTCGCATTCCCCATCAATCCATGCTTTTGAGGTCCTATACCAGTGGCCATGTCTATGGATTTGGTCATGCCAAAGGACACTTCTCCAGTGTTTTTACTGCAGGAAGCCAACTGTCTTCCTTCCTATTCTGAATTGAGGAGACCTTAATAACATGAATAGCTGAGAGGTAGCCAAAGTAGCTTTATTTATCCCTTGACTTGATGTCTCTATTCTTTTGCCCCAGATTACAGCCCAGACAAGCAAAAGAAATGAGAATAAATGGTGCTGGGAAAACTGGCTAGCCATATGTAGAAAGCTGAAACTGGATCCCTTCCTTACACTTTATACAAAAGTTAATTCAAGATGGATTAAAGACTTAAATGTTAGACCTAAAACCATAAAAACCCTAGAAGAAAACCTAAGCAATGCCATTCAGGACACAGGCATGGGCAAGGACTTCATGACTAAAACACCAAAAGCAATGGCAACAAAAGACAAAATTGATAAATGGGATCTAATTAAACTAAAGAGCTTCTGCACAGCGAAAGAAACTACCATCAGAGTGAACAGGCAACCTACAGAATGGGAGAAAATTTTTGCAATCTACCCATCTGACAAAGGGCTAATATCTAGAATCTACAAAGAACTCAAACAAATTTACAAGAAAAAAAAAAACCCATCAAAAAGTGGGCAAAGGATATGAACAGTCACTTCCCAAAAGAAGACATCTATGCAGCCAACAGACACATGAAAAAATGCTCATCAGCACTGGCCATCAGAGAAATGCAAATCAAAACCACAATGAGATACCATCTCACGCCAGTTAGAATGGCAATCATTAAAAAGTCAGGAAACAACAGATGCTGGAAAGGATGTCGAGAAATAGGAACACTTTTACACTGTTGGTGGGAGTGTAAATTAGTTCAACCATTGTGGAAGACAGTGTGGAGATTCCTCATAGATCTAAAACTAGAATTACCATTTGACCCAGCCATCCCATTACTGGGTATATACCCAAAGGATTATAAATAATGCTACTATAAAGACACATGCACACATATGTTTATTGCGGCACTATTCACAATAGCAAAGACTTGGAACCAACCCAAATATCCATCAATGATAGATTGGATTAAGAAAATGTGGCACATATACACCATGGAATACTATGCAGCCATAAAAATGGATGATTTCATGTCCTTTGCAGGGACATGGATGAAGCTGGAAACCATTATTTTCAGCAAACTATCACAAGGACAGAAAACCAAACACTGCATGTTCTTACTCATAGGTGGGAATTGAACAATGAGAACACTTGGACACAGGGCAGGAAACATCACACACCGGGGCCTGTCTGAGGGTGGGATGTTGGGGGAGGGATAGCATTAGGAGAAATACCTAATGTAATTGATGAGTTGATGGGTGCAGCAAACCAACATGGCAAATGTATACCTATGTATCAAACCTGCACGTTGTGCACATGTACCCTAGAACTTAAAAGTATAATAAAAAATAAAATAAAATTATAAGGCAAAAAAAGAAAAAGAAATGAGAGTAATATTCTATTTAAGAAGATAAAACAGTTTTTACTTCTTTTCTCAGTTATTAGCATCCCTCCATATAACACTAAGTATACAGTAGGAAAAACTTGTCTTCTAGGAGTCACATATTCATTAAAATGAATACCAAAGCTTTATTAATGAAGCTTTACAGAATTTTATTCCCAACACCCTCATTGATTATTGCTAACTAAAATTTTAAAACTCCAATCTGTAATAATAACTCCCACAAAGAACATTAGCTTTGAATTTGTTGTGCATGAGGCTCACCTGGAGTGCTTGTTGAATATATAGATTCCTGAGCATCACCTGTAATTAGTCTGATTCAGTTCAGGTCAGGCATGAATCCCAGGAATCTCCATTTTATCCCGTACTGCAGGCAGTCTAATGAAAGTAAGCTAAAAGTTGTGGTTCCATTGTAGTGATTTGGGGGATATGGAATAGGGTACAAGTCTCAATCCTCATTTTTAAAAGATAATAACCTTGGATATGACTAGCATTCATTCATCATTCAGTTTAATAAATATGTATTGATTGCCTACATGTTCCAGGCACTAGGTAGTAAGGATACCAGCACAAGGCAACTTCTGCCCTTGAGGAGCTTATAACTTTAGAAAAACAGGAGCTGAGTTTCTGCTGCCCTCTCCTCATGCCCTAGGTGACCAAATGATATTCTGTTATCATCATTACTTTAAGTATCATCTGGGAACATAAGGCAAAAGGTTCCTTAAACATTTTAATGTCTTGGACAGAAATGGTATCCAGAGGGCATTGGAGGAGCCATGAAGCCTGCAAATACTGTGTGAGGCAAGCCTTTATATTTGGTGGGAAATAGGAGGATGGTAAGAGGTGTCTATACAACAGCAAAGCACCTTTGTGTTTGCCAGAATCCCTGATACGTAAGTCATGATGGAAGGCTTAACTATCTGGATAATCATGTCTATGACTTTGACCCTGAAGAAATGCAAATACAGAGGGCCTACCATGATAATATTTGGTACAGAGGTTGGACAGAATGTCCAACAGCAGTCTGGAGGGTTCAAATGAACAGTGTTGGCAATGTTTTTGGCAGCACCACAGCCAGACTACTTCTGGGTATGAGGTGATCTACTTCAGCTCCAACACACTCTCTAAGATTGGTTCTCCAGCCTTCTGATTAGGTCTTTTCAGTAAATTTGTTTTCTACTTTTGTTGTCAGGTCAGTTTCTGCTATTTATAATCAAGAACCCCGACTGATACCAAAACCAGTATCAGTAGGTAACAGAGAACACATTCTCAGAGAAGTGGCAGGATGAAATCCTGATATGTGGACTACGTAGGCCCAAAATCATAGAGAATCCCATTAGCACAGGAGACTGAAAGACCCTGGAATGTAATGATAAATCAGCCAACTAAATTATCATCTCTGTTTATCTCGAATGAAGTGCCCATTGAGGACAGTTCTCTCGGATCAAGTTGCTACTTCCATTTAAAAGTGAAAAGAGCATAGTAGTCAAAGACTACAGAGTGAGATGCCAGTCTATCACCTTACTGGACAGCTCACAGAAAAAGAATAAGAGTTCCCCAAATTCTCATATAAATGTTGTTTATGATGAAGCTAAAATAATATTTTATTTACTGATGCAACAAGGTTCAGGAAATTATGTCTGCTGAATTCACTGCCATTGTTCTAGGGCTGGTGTGACCCCTAAGAATATACAGGAGGTTTGGAAAAACTTGGACTACTTGAATCCTCATCTCCCACTGCCAGCCTTCTCCCTGTCAATGAGGTCATCTCTTTTGGCTTGAAGATATTGTCTTAGCTTACCTAAGGGAGTTACCTTACCAAGTGGACCAACTTTTCTCATGTCCACTTTTTTTTCTTCTTTGTCTTCAAACTTAAAACCACAGCCAGGTTTCAGCATGTCCTGGAAAGCCAGTTGCAAAGTCAAGCCAAAGAAGAGAAAGCTTACACACCAAACATCTTCAGTACCATACTGACTTATACCACTGGAATCTTGAGAATATGTGTGAAAAATAAAATAGATTTATTGTAATTCGAATTGAAATAGATGGATGATGAATCTACCCAAATTTATTATTATGTGTGCCAGAAATTCTACATTAAGCATTCTGGTCAAACATCTGAGAATAGTTCTAATTCTTTGCTCAGCTGGTTTGTGAAATTCTGAACAATATAAGGTGTTCACATAATATTAATGTGATATTCCAGTAATTATTTTGACTAAGGTAGAGAAAGGAATAAAAAAGCACATTAAATAGAAGTCCTGGAGTAGCTTTATCTTATACATCTGACCGACCATTTTTATTTTTGTAATTAAGCCCCAAATTAGGTCCAGAGAAATGTCCAGACCTCTTGGAGATTATTACGCTCTGGTTATGAGCTAATTCCAGGAGATTTATAGTGTTACTCTGGTCTGCAAATCAAAGTGAGGGTTGATGGAGGTCAAGTGATGAGTTCTGACACTAATCTACCTCATACAAAACAAAATGAGACATCAAATCCATCCTGTATTTATTTTCCCCGTTCTGAGTATCTTAATCCATTCAGGCTGCTATAACAAAACAGTATAAGCTAGGTAGCTTATAAATAACACAAATTTATTTCTCATATTTCTCTTTATTTGGCTGATTAATCTATCATTACATTCTCAGGTATTTCAGGCTCCTGTGCTGATGGAATTCCCCATGACTTTGGGTCCATGTAGTCCACATATCTGATATCAGGTTTTCATCCTGCCATCTCTCTGGAAGCTGGGAAGTCCAAGATCAGAGCACTGGCAGATTTAGTGTCTGGCAGGGTCCCTCTTCCAGGTTCATAGATGGCGCCTTCTCACTGTGTACTCACATGTTGGAAAGGGGGTAAGGCAGCTCTCTGGGGCCTCTTATATAAGGGCATCAATCCAATTTATGAGGGCTCTACCCTCACTACCTAATCACCTTCCAACAGCCCTCTTTCTAATACCTTCTCCTTGGGATTAGGATTTCAACATATGAATTTTGGAAAAACACAAACATTCAGATCATAGCATCAAATATATAATTGGAATCAATAATCCTCATCAAATATAGAATCTGCCTCTTTGTTCTTGGCCCATGGAAATTTTTTCTTGGTGGAAATAGAAATCCCTGGGGCTCTCCATTTCTATCAAATACTAAATCAAAGTCAATTAGGCATTCCTCTGGTATTAGTACCATTCATTATCAATAAACTAAAGGATATAGTGATGATGACTTCTATCACATCCCCATTCAATCATCTAGATTGCCTCATACACAGCACAGATAATCATAAGCTCAATCAGGTCTGACTCTTATTAAAGTTTCTAATCCTTGTCTGATTTCATTATTGGAGCCTATCAACACAGTTCCTGATACCTAATATGTAGCCACTGAATTGATGAGTATTTTTTTCCTCTAAACTAAAACATCACTAGCAGTTTGATTTTTATGTATATCTTTGCAGTGTTTCTTCATGATTACTTCAATGTTTCACTCAGTATCCTAATTTATTCTGCAAGATATTTTACCAGATATAATGTTGAATGCCATTCTACCACATTGAAGAGATCTTTCTTTTTTAAAGGATCTACAGAGCAGGAGGCAGTAATGCAGTGGATGACATGATAAGACATGTGTGTAGAGGGTGACGCCTAAAACTCATAAGAAAATATAGAATTGTAACTTCAGGTAAGGTTCTGAGGTTCCAGTGCTCTGGAGTTATTGAAATATCACCTTTCAAGCTTTAGACAAGTTGCTACACATCGTGAACTATGTTTACCCCACTGTTTGGTAGAGCTTTTTTGATTTTGAAAGAAATATATACCTCATTTGGTCATACTTTTCTGAACCATTTACTCAGTAACCTGAAAAACCTTAAACTTTGAGACAGATGCAGAGCAAAAGGTTCTCTGGACCATATTCCAGGCAGCAGCGAAATAATCAATGCCCCTTGACACTCATGACTCAGTAGATTAAATGGTACTTGATATATCTCTGGCAGGCTAGAATATTGTATTCAACTTTGATATGCCTCAGTAGGAGAAACACAGGAATAGACCCTTAGGCCATGTACTCTTGAGCAAATAACTATATTCCTTTTGGAAAACAGCTCTTGACTTTCTACTGGGTGCTGATAAAAAGTAAATGCCTAGCCACAAGATATCTGGTGATCTGAGCTGCCAATCATATATATGGTATTATCAGATTCACCTTATCATGTAGCTTCTTTTCATTAAGAGGAAGAGGTTCAAATGGACCACGTTGTGAGCAAGTTCTACAGGCAAAAATCAGAAACATGAACAGGTGAATTTTGTCACATTATCACCCCTCATCAGCCCACACTATGTTTCGAGGAGAATTAATAACTATGACCTGGAATGAGTTAATAAAAATATGCATGCATGGCTGGGCATGATGGTCAAATTCAGAGGAGGGCACTCCTTAAGAAAACAAATAAAACTTATGAGTAAAAATTAAAAAGATACCAGATCTTGGAAGAATCCTTGCATATGAGGAGTTCTTAAACTTAAGCTTCATTAGTTTCACAGTAAAGCCTACTTTTGCTGGTGTCAGCCAGAAGTGTATAAGGGAGGCCTGGGCTCTACCTCAATTCATGGGCAAGACGGAAGTTTTTGCCATTTGGTCAGCAACAATAAGATTTAAGAATTGGTGTTGAAGTGTTTGGGGGAAGAAGTAGATAGAAGATCTGTGTCTCATGTGAATGTGTACCTGAGGTGCTCACCATGAAGGAGGTGCTGAGGTAATGGCATTCTCTATGCTCCTTCTCTAAACTCCCAGTGATTGCCCAATGAGCTCATGAACAAAGTAGCTATGGTGGCAGGGATGGTAGCTCTTCATGGGCTCAAATACATGAATTTACCTCACAAAGACCTACCTGGCTACTGCCTCTGCTGAGTGCTCAATTTACAAGCAGTAGAGACTAATCTTACAATATATAATAATAATATACTCTGTGAGGAACAGTGAGATACCTGGTGGCAGGTGATTGTGTTAAGCCAGAAGAATTTTGCAGAAAGTAAATCTTCATAAACAAGGAAGGAAAAACATCAGAAATTAAGCTTATAAACTCTGGAAAAATCATACAGGTTTGTAAAACCTTGGAGAGAACCAGTCAGAGAGAGAAAAATAATGCATAGTTAGTATGGTATAATGGTCCACAGTCTTTCAACTATAACTTTAAAGATACTCAGAAATCTAGAAGGAATCTTAAAAGAAAGAGTTAAAGTCTCCTTCAATAGCTGCTCCAAAGTTATTCTTCTCATATTCCACTATTTTTTTTTTGCCATGGCTTTAGGGTCCACACATTATAGCAATGGCATTACAATGAGATTATCATGAGGGATTTTATATATACAGGCATCTCCAACTAGCAATGGTTTTTCAGCTTTACAATGGGCTTATCAGGATGAAGCCTCATACTAAGTTGAGAATCTCCTTATGACTTAAGATGGGGTTATGGTTTCTACTGAAGGCATATCACTTTCACATCAACATAAAGTAAAAGAATCCTAAATCAAACCGTCATAAGTGAAGGACCATCTGCTCTTTTGCCAGCACTATATGCACTTTCCACTTAATGATATTTTTAACTTATGGTGGGTTTACTGGGATGTAACTCCATTATTCAGTTGAGGAGTCTGTGTGTATAGAAAGAGACACAGAGAGAGAGAGAAACAGGCAGAGAGAGAGAGGGAGGGAGGGAGGGAGGGAGACAGAGAGGGAATTTGTAGTCAGAGAATCACCACTCAAATGAGCAAAGAGTAATTGCAGCAAAGCTAAACACAATTTAGTTAGTTCCAACTTAGGAAAAGTTCAAGGAGGATTTTGGGCACTTAAGACAAAAAGCAATGCAAGAAGGGCAAGAAAATCACATACATGTGAAAGACTTAATGGGACCAGGGTTCTTGAGATACCACTTAAACGTTAATAACCCAGAGCATCTCCTGATGACTCTGATCATGTCAGTGTACGTAAAAATCAATGAAGGTGTATACTGACACTGCCTTACCTGTCATGTAAGAATTCCTGCCCAGCTGGAATCAAGAACAGGAAAAAGGTATCATCTCACAATCCCATATCCTGTGTAAAGTGGCTTGGGTTTGGGGGCAACTTACGTTGCATTAGATTACTTTCTTTTTCTCCGCAACCCTTGTCGATTTGAGAAAGGGCACATGGCTTAGGATTAGCCAATAGGGTGCATGTGGAGTCGGGGACTGGATTGCACTTGCAAAATAACTGGATGAGCTTGGAGTCCAGGCTTTGGAAGGTGGCAAAGCGTGAGGTGATTGGGCTAGAAGAGAGGCATAGAGGTAAAGACAGTGGCAAAGCTAAAGTCATCCTGGACCATGTGGTAAATTGTCAGCAAAGTCACTAAAGTTACCAAATGACGAGTGTGATTGGATTTGCTATGAAGTAGTGAATGGTATGAGGTTCAATGCAAGCAGTGGGGAGACAGCAGAATACTAACAGACAGAGATGTAAATCACAAAAACATAAGGCAGAAATTGTAGAATGAGCTTTGTGTTGTCACAAGAACTGGAATCAATGTTTTGTCAAAAATACAACCGGCTGTCTCTGTGGTGCTTTATAATAGTGTAAACCAGTACTCACTACCTCACCCTAGTTTGGAGAGAAAGGTCTCAGTATACTTGAAAGTACTGAGAAAGGCTCAGCTGTTTTCCCACATCCATGTTCCCAGGAGAGCCCTGATGCCCAGGACTAAGGAGGGGGAATGAGGCTGAAAGCTTCCAATATGCATTTTCATATAAATGTCCTGTTGTTTGAGAAAAAGAAAAAATATCCCTCTCTGTTCAGCTCCAATTCTATGTATCACACTGGCCCACAATGCTGGGGACCTTCCAGGTCCTTTGGTTCTTGTCTATTGCTTCCCTATGGGGCTTCTCCTGATACAACTTGCAGATCATTTCTCAAAAGGAAGTCACTGGAGAAAAAAAGATCTACTAAGATGTTAATATTTGCTAAAACTTTTTTAAATTTTGGGGGCTTTAAAAGTCTTTTCTGCCTTGTCAGCATGTTTTGGAGGAACAAAGAAGTGTGAGATTAACAGGGTATGGTAAAGACATGGGGATGCAAATGAGCATTTGATTTTGAGGCTAGAAGGGGACCAACCATGTTGGTCAAGAATTTATGTTAGGAGGAGAAGGGAGATGAGGCTAGAAAAGAAATAAAAGAAAGATTGGACTGGGAGATAATTTTTCTGCTGGGATTAGGGGCTTGAACTTCATCTCATAGGTAATTAAGAGAATATGAGAGATTTTAAGCCACAGGAGTCAGTGAAAGGATGCCGTCTTTAACCATAGGTTTGGCAGGGAAGGCTATGGAGATTTTACCCACTTTGTTCCTTTGCCCACTCTTATGGGAGGAAGTTCTTTAGTACTAGAAAGTGGAAAGACATATACTATACAGGCAAAATGAAAAATATCTACTAAAAAACAATTAATACAAGAGGTATTAACAAGGTTATAGTGTTGCTACAATGTGAATGGGTGGGTGTTGTAGAAAACCGTTCATAGGCTGGCAGAAAGACAGCATCCTTAATGCAGTTGCGAGTGATGAGGGAATGTTAGTAATCTATTGCTAATTAATTATCTATTGTTATATAATGGATGATTTTAACACTTAGTGCCCAAGAATCCAGGCATGGCTTAGTTGGATCTTCTGCTTCAGGTCTCTCACAAGACTATAATTAAGGTGTCAGCCAGAGCTGGAGTCTCATCTGAGGCTTGACAGGAACAGTCTACTTACAAGGGCATATTGTTGTGTATAGGATTTAGTTTCTTGCAGGCTGTCAGAAGGCTTCAGTTCCTTGATGGCTGTTGGCCACAAGTCACACCCTCAGTTCCTTGCCATGTGAGCCTCTCCATAGGGCAGTTCACAACATGGGGGCTTGATTCATCAAAGCCAGCAAGGGAGATAATCGATAGAAAGTGCCTGCTAGCAAAGAGAAGATGTAATCTTATTTCCTATAACTATGGAAGTGATATACTACCATTCTGTTGGTTAGGAGGAAGTCATAATGCATACTCACACTCAAAGGGAGAGGATTACACAAGGGCATGGATACCGCGAGGCAGTGATAAGTGGGGAGCATCTTAGAGTCTGTCTGCCACAGAGAGATAGACTAAAGATGGTGTCAGTGAGAACAGAAAAGAAAAGATTGGGGAGTGGAGAGGCATTTAGAGAGAAAAATGGAGCAGGTTTGGCACCTTGGAGATAAAGGGGCTGAAGCAGCTATGTGAGTCTTTGGGACCATTGTTTTTCACATTTGTCTTTTTCTGAGACAATATTTTGGTTGTCCTTTCGCACATTGCAATAGAAATCTTCTGGCATTAACATTTTAAACTCTTTTTCAATTTTATTAAAAGCATTTCAAAGGGATGTTTTGTGTTTAACTCTTTAAATCTTCATGATCAGCCTATAATATTTAACAATATGTATAAATTGGCCATTCTTTCTTTATCTATTTCTTTATTTACCAGAAATGACCTCTGGTCATGACTTACCAGTTTAGAGTTTTCTTTTTTAAATGTTGCTGTTGCTTAACTTATCTTTCCAGAGATTTTTTTCAAATGCCAGATAAGTCTGCATTATAATCAATACCTGTCTTCTCAGATGAAATGTTTTTCTTTTGCATATGGAGACAATGTTAATTAACATATTAGGAATGTATTTGGTACATTTGGTTGCAAATGCAAACAGTCTAATCTGTTACTCATTAGACCTCTTTGTCTGAAGCATTCAAGTGAGTAACAGGTTGCACTGAGACATCACCAAAGTGATTCAGTTATCCTAAAAGTACTCATTTTGTTTTTTTCTGGGAAGATTTATGTATTATGAATTACTCAGATTGCATTTTCATTTTATAACCATGGTAACTACTATGACAACACTTAAAAGGATGGTCATGTTAATTACTTCACTAAAGAAGAAATCCTGGCCAAATTTTCTACACTGAACTTAGCAGAGAATGTTAACAGTATCAATAGGAACTAAAACATCATTGAAGATTTTGTCCTTTGGGGCTTTATATTGATGTTGGAGAACCCCAGTGAAAAAGCTGAGGTACATTAAGATATTTAATGGCTGGGCTCCGTTTTCCCTTTTGAGTTCCATTTCATTTCCACTCATTATTTATGTTTATCCTTTATGGAGGAGTTTATCCTTTGCTACTGGAGTTCATAAAGGGAAAGTCATGTATCAAGTGCCTACTATGGGTTAATACTTTCTCTATGATCTGATTTTATCTTCCCAACAGTCTTTTTGAGGCAAGTACTATTGATTTCCTCTTAACAGATGAAAAATTGAGTTCATTCAGTGATTCTTCTAATAAATAGGTATTGACTGTGTTTTTTAAGCAACATGGACAAAACCTTACAATTAGAATTGAGATACTTGAGATTTAACACAAAGTCCATCTGATTGCAGAGCCTATGCATTTTATGCCACATTTTTTCTTCAGTCTGTCTTTTCCACTTTAAGATTTTGTCTGACTATAGCAGGGTATGTTATATGAGTGTGTGTGTGTATGAGAGACAGAGAGAGAGACACACACACACAGTCAGTGTGTGTGCTGTGGGTGGGAATCAGATTTTTCCATATTCACATTCAGAAAGTCATGTTATAATGAACCTACTTCACAAAGAGGCAGAATACATGGTGTAATGTCATTTACTATGGGAAATGCCCTTTTCTAAAAGAATATCCTTTCCTCCATCTTTTACGAAGGGTAAAATCTTAAACGCAATAATACCCAAGGGTTAACATGCAAATGGAAATTAAACTCAAGGAGTTAATTTCACATGTAAAAGTGACTCATAGAAGATCTTTCCTTTCTTGAGATCCATGTTTCCAGGGCACTGAGCACACTGGGACTAAAGGTTAGACTGGAAACTTGGAATGAAAGGCTAAGGCCAGGTACCGTGGTTCATGCCTGTAATCCCAGCATTTTGGGAGGCCGAGGTGGGTGGATCATTTGAGGTCAGGAGTTTGAGACCAGCCTAGCAAACATGATGAAACCCCACCTCTACTACAAATACAAAAATTAGCCAGGTGTGGTGATGGGCACCTGTAGTCCCAGCTACTTGGGTGGCTGAGGCAGGAGAATCGCTTGAACCTGGGAGGTGGAGGTTGCAGTAAGCTGAGATCGCACCACTGCACTCCAGCCTGAGTGAAGAGCGAGACTCTATCAAAAAAAAAAAGAAAGAGAGAGAGAATGAAAGAAAGAGAGAAAGAGAGAAAGAGAAAAAGAAAAAAGAAAGAAAGAAAAGAAAAGAAAAGAAAAGAAAAGAGAGAAAGGCTGAACATCAGTTTGTATCTGCTCGTCCTGAAATGAAGCCCAAAGAACAAAGGAAAGGTCCTGCTATGATATTGTGCTCCAACTCATCACATCATGTCACAAACAGACAATATGTTAGATGTGGGGATTAAGTGGTCAGTGAAATCAAACACAACATCTGCTCTCCTGGTTCTGGCAATTCAGTGATGGAGACTTGAGAATCAAATAATAAAATGATCCCACAAATAAATGTACTATTGCAACTGTTGTTAGAACTATGAAAAAAAGTATAATGTGCTAAGAGAAGGAATAAAACTGGGGGCTGTCATAGGCAAGGGAGTCAGGG
This sequence comes from Homo sapiens, assembly GCF_000001405.40. NCBI lineage: Eukaryota > Metazoa > Chordata > Mammalia > Primates > Hominidae > Homo > Homo sapiens. The sequence continues at coordinate 90,346,290 of NC_000010.11, forward strand.
AAGGCTGCTTTCCGAAATGAAATCTGAATTGAGATCTAAACCTATCACCTTTTCCTTAATCCCACCTCTCCGTATGTGTTCTCCATCTCTGTAAATGGCTTCACAATCTATTTGCTAAAATGAGAAATACAGAACTCAGCTCTGACTTCTCTCTCTCCCTCATCTCCCACTCAATCATCAGATCCTGCCTATCTACAAAAATTATTTTCTTTTTGTCCACTTAGATAAGCCTTTTCTCTGCCACCAGCCAACGTCTTTATCTGGAATAACTCAACAGCCTCCTAATTAGTTTTCTTCTGCCTCAGGTCTTGCTCGCCTTCCGACCTTGCCAATCACAATTCATTTCCCACAATGCAACAAAAATAATCTATCAAAAATACAAATATAATGGAGTCACAATCCTATGTTAATTTTTTGGACACTCCCATTGCCTTTAGGATGAAATATAAAACCTTAAGATGGCTTCAGACCCTTTATTATCTGACCCCTGCTCATTTCTGTAACAGATTTTCTTCCTACTTGCACAGTATCCTCTGGCCATCTTCAATTTCTCTGTTCCTAGAGTAAATCCTGTTCTCTCTTTCTTCCTTCCTATCCATTTGTCTGAAACACTCTTCTTAGTTCCTTCTCTCGTCTCTCCTACACGTAGGTATCTTCTACTAATCCTCAAAGTCTTAGCTTTCTGATTTCACTTATTTGTGTAAACTTCGGTTCCCAAAAGTAGATCTGGACTCACATAGCACCTGTCACACTGCGTCATAATTGCAAATTTTCATTGTATTAATCCCTTACTAGATTGTGACTTGCCTGAAGGCAGGAGTCATATATTTTCTTGCTTACCATTGTAGCCCCTACATTAGGACAGTTCCAGGTTCACTGCAATTGCTCCCTGAATATTTATTAACAGACAAGGAAGAAGGAACAAGGGAAAGAAGGGGAGAAATAAAGGAAGATGAGAGAGAGGGGGAAGGAGGCTCGGAAGGAAGAAAGAGATAGGGAAATGAAGAAGGGAAGTCGGAAGGGAGGGAAAACAGAAGGAATCCTTAGGAATGCTTCATTGTTCTTACCTTATTTAAATGGCTTTGAAATGAGGAACTTTGCTCATCTATTTGAGCAGGGCAATGTAATAAAACTTCCCACAATAATGAAATGTTTTGTATTTGTTCTGACCAATGTGGTAGTCACTAGCTACATGGAGCTATTTGAAATGTGGCCAGTGTGACTAAGAAATCAGATTTTTAATATGATTTTATTTTAAATTTAAACAGGCTACTTGGTTAGCTACTATATTGGATATCATGGCCTAGAGGAGCCAGTGGCAGGGCCAACCTTGTATGCACCCTTTGGACAACCCCTCTTTTAACATTTCTGCTTCCTTGCTGCTCAATACCGTGTTCTTCACTGCAATTTTCCTAGTGTGTTTAGGAATTTTTCTAAACTTCTCTTTTGCCAGGCTGGGCAGCAAAAGTCAAATAAATGTAACACAGAGAATACCATTTACACTTCATTTTTAACAGCCTTAATGAGAGTCATTTCAATTTTGCAAATACTGGTAAGTAATGTCTATATATATATTCAAAAGCTGCATTTTTCCTGAACATTCTCTCTAACAAAAAAATAGTGAAATAAACAAATAGCCTCTCAGACTATTATGCTGAATGCTACAAAATCAGCTAAAAAAATCAACAAAGTTTAATGTGAACATTGCTTTTCATTCCTTTGGCATACAGAGAAAACAACAGGCTGCAGAATAGCAGGAGGCAGGCAGGGCAGAGAGAGGCAGAGACAAAGCGTAAGAGGAAAAGTGACTTAATCTTTGCCTCTCACACCAAGCTTAATGACAATTGATCAGTCATCACTATTAGAAAGCAGCAGTGTGGAGAGGGAAGAGCACTGAACTGGGAGTCAGAGTCTTCTTCCACATTACACAGACCTGCCTGGGCAAGCTATACAACTCTGAACCTCAGTAATTTTCTTCTTACAATAGGGAAACTACACCCACTCTCCCTTTCTGGTTAGGTTTTTGTGAATTTCCTATGAAACAATATATGCCCAATGAATATACAAGTTTTTTTTTTTCTTTTTTTTGAGACAGGATCTCACTGTGTTGCTCAAACTGGAGTGTAGTGGCACAATCACAGCTCACTGCAGCCTCAGACTCCTGGGCTCACATGATTCTCCCGTCTCAGCCTCCCAAGTGGCTGGAACAACTAGCATGTGCCACAATGCTCAACTATTTGTTTTTGTTTTTGTTTTTGTTTTAATTTTTGATAGGGACAGGGTCTCTTATTGTTCAGTACAGACGCTGGTCTCAAACTCCTGGGTTCAAGCTATCCTCCTGCCTTGGCCTCTCAAAGTGCCGGGATTTTGGGGGTGGGCCACCATGCCCAGCCAGTTATCCCTAGTGTTGTGCAAAATGAGGCAATTTTAAAATGTGACCACTCTCTGACTCGAAATAAAAACATCAGGACTGAAACTAAGCAAAATATATTATTTTCATTGTTTTAACAGCCATACTAGCCCACTTACCTTTCTTCAGTTCATTGAAATTATCCTGAATTTTTTTTCTAATCAATATTTCTTACAGGAAAGTATTTACTTCCACACTCATCCTGGAGCCTAGAAGTGCCATATAGTTTTATACCAGTGGCCACAGTATGTGTTGGTTGAGTAGATGGAGAGGGGAGAAGAACTGGCAGGAGAGCGTTGGAATTCAAGATACAATGATGTCTGCAGATAAAATATATCTTTGGATCTGTCCTATCCGGTATTTTTCCTTTTAAGTATATACTTCAACTTCCATATTATACTAACTTACTTGTCTGAGCAGGTGCCCACTTACTCTTAAATGTTATAGTCCAGTTCGTGTGCCAAGACATTTTTTTATCCTTGAGAGAGGTCATCCATTCAATAAGTTTAATTACATTTTCAACTATATTATAACTACGGGAGGTGCTCCATGAAAAGAAAGAAAAAACCCTTAAGATATCTCCAGTCTGAAGGTGGAACTCAGATGCCTGCAGATGACACAATGAACTAGCAGGGCAGAGCAAACTAGGAAAAAATAGGCTCTGCCTGTGTGTAATGTAAAACCTCCAGACTTTCTAACAGCCTCCCAGAAGGTTGTAATAAAAGCCACCCATTTTCAATAGCATTCCTATTTTGAATAAAAAGAATATTGACATTCTGTGGGTGAAAATTTCAATTTGCAAATTTTATTTTCGCTACAGACAAAACCACCAGAAAATGACAGCCTAGAAATTAATTACACATGGAGGAGTCCATTACGTTAGATCAGACTAAGTGGTTGCTATAGTCAAAATATGTTTCAATTGATTTTAATAAAGTTTAATTATTTACAATATGTTATATTCTATGTGGGAAGATTGCACATATTTTCTGATATATTTCCATTATGAGAATACAGTTCCACTAAATAGGTCTAGCATCATTAAAACCTCTATGCACAAATTGTGACCTAAATGAAATATTACCAGTTTTCACAGTTTGTATTAATAAAATGTTTGTAATAATAGATTTATCAACTAATCAATTGTGACCCATGTATACAAACACAGTTGCTTTCTTTGTGTATCCATCCATCCATGCATCCATGCATCCATCCATCATAGAGGAAGTTTGATATGGAGCAATAACAAGATGTTTAAAACTGAAGAGACCTGGGATTGAATTTAGATTCTACTATTTAATAATAATTATGTCTCTGGGCCTTGGTTTCTCATTATAACATGAATACATACATTACCTAAACAACAAGTTATTGTAGCATTAAGGAGTATAGTAATTGTTGTGGGATTCGTTTTTAAAGTTTAAATTACAATTATCGAATCTTGGTTGAGATGAGGCAAGGTAAAGCAGCTCTTAGCCTTGTATGGAGGAAGTCCCTCCACTAAATAGTGATAATAGTAATATCACATATCCTCCATTAGAAGATACCCAAGCCATGTTCATTGTCATGGCTCAGAGACAAGTGTTTTGTGGTTCAGAAATTGTGGTTCAGAAATAATTTTAGACTGGTCAGCATAATCTTCTTAGATATTTTGATTTCTATTATGTCAAATTATGTCTTTCTAATTAAAGTAGTTGAAAACTAAGTCATTATTTTTAAAATAATTACTTTTTAAACATCATTGAAAAGCCAGTCTTACTCTGATGAGCAGAAGCTAGAAGTGGCAGAGCAGCCAGGGTATGGGACTGTGCCAGTTTTTGTGTTCTTGTTCATCTGATATTTTTTTAACCAACTTTATTCATCCTGACTTCTCCTTTGAGAAGAAGTAAAGTAATAAAAAAAAGAGGGTTCAGCAGCAACCAAGTCTCAATCGAAGATAAGTCATTGGCATTTGCTCTGTGACCATCTCTGTGTATATTAAGAAAGTCAAAAGGCAGTTGTTGCCATTTCAAGTATTTTTTGGTGTACAAAACCCACATAAACAGATCTTTGCCTAATGTCAATACATATTTAACTCAGTCAAAATGTGTGATAGACTAGGGAGAATTAAAACTGGCATATATAAAAGGCTTAGGTTAAACTCAGGAGCCATTTCTGAGAAAAGGAAAAAAGAAAAGTGCCTTGAAGAATGCCTGCTACAGAGTAAAAATAAAAAAGATAATACATTTCATTCCCCAAACATTGACTGAGCCCCTACTGTGTGCCATGTACCATCTATTCTTGGCCAAATTAAACTAGGTCATTGCTCTGGAGAGGCCTATAATTCCATACTAGAGGAATTCACTGAAAGATATAAATAACATGAGTTTGATAAGTGTGATGATAAAGGCACAGCACACTGTGGCCTCAAATAGAAGGAAGGAGTTCACTCAGCTGACAGGGGAAGGGGAGGTTAATGTAAGAGAGTGCTGTTCTCAGAAACATGGAAGACGAGGGGTTTATGAGACTTTGGTCTGTGTCAGTCTTGTGCTTGAACCCAAAATGCTGTCTTGGCCTCGGGATCTCTCCCTATTAGTAGAGCAGTTTGGCAATAAAACAATGACACAAATCCTGGCTTTGCTACCCTCCAAGCTGCTCTCATTCATTCATTTGTTCTTTCATCCTTTCATAAAATATTATCAGAGTATTTACATCATATCCAGCAGTTCCACATCTGTGGATTCAACCAACTAGATGGAAAATATTTGAGAAATAAAAGGATGTTTGCATCTGTGCTAAAATATACAGATTTCTTGTCATTATTTCTTAAACAATACGGTATAATAAGTACTTAAAAAGCATTTACATTGTATTAGGTATTATAAGTAATCTAGAGATAATTTAAAGTAAGTTGGAGGATGTACATAGTTTATATGCAAATACTACAGCATTTTATACCAGGGACTTGAACATCAGTGGATTTTGGTATGGGAAGTTGGGGTGGGGTCCTGGAACCAAGCCTCCCACAAATACTATAGAATGATGGTACTTACAATGTGCTAGGCACTCTGTAAACAGAATTAATAATAAAATGGATATTATTTTTGTGGAGCTTATAATATGTAATAAATAATTTAATAATTGGAAACAACAACAAGGATCCATAAACATGCTTTTGTAAATTATACAATAGTCTATGGACAAAGAGAAAAAGGGAACACAGAGAACATAGAGTAAACCTACCTTAGGCATTAGCATGTGCCTCTCCAGGGCTCATGTTTACATTGAGGAGTGAAGGAAGCGGAAGGGTGAGGAGTGGGAAGCATGAGACAGCAGTGGCAGGGGAGGCATTTCAGGGAGGAGAAGGGTGCCCATGCCCTTAGGTGGGAATGAAGTGTAGCATGCTCAAGCTGGGAAAGGTGGCCAGTGAGGGGCAGCTGTAGTTTGGCAAGGAGGAGGCAACACAAAAGTGCTCAGTCAAAATTCAGTTATGATCATTTCAAAGTGTTCTCTATTCAACTCAGGTAGAGTAATGCCAGAGTTACTGAAATAATATGAATAGAGGTAAGGTGATAACCAGCCCCTACACACAACAAAGAGGCGAGGCAAAACCAGATAAAGTGGATTATCTCCACCTGCCCATTGGCATGCTCTGCCTTCTGCTCTGCTTGGAACTCTTGAGGGATTCTGGACGCAGATGGTCTCGATTCTGCACTTAAATCCTGCTCTCGTTGTGGTGGAAATATCAAAAACACCTGCTCTTTGTTATCTGTTAGGCAAGTTCTGTGCGTCAGGCACTGTCCATGGTGCCAGCATCCTATTCTTCCTGACACGTGAGCCAGGTCATGGTGCTGATCTGCTTCCAGCCCACTGAAGGCTTCCGATCTCCTTCAGAGTAAATGCTGAAGTCTCTTTGCTCACTTTCAAGGCACTAGATTTGCTGCCTCCTCTCTATCAACTCCGAATACTCTCCCTCACTCATTTGGACCATTCTGTAGAGACAGCTCTACAAGCAGCTCAGCTCACCAGGCAGGTGATGCCTCAAAGTCTTTGCTCTGCTAGTTCCTCTGCTGGAAATACCCTTTGCCCCAGTGACATGGTGGTTCAGTCCCCTTACTTTCTTCAACTCCTTTCCATCGTGAGGCCTTCCCCATGCATTCCATCTAAAATTGCACTCCACCCTAACCCTCTGCATACTTGCTTTATTTTGCTCCATAGCATGTATCTTCTTCTAATGAGCTATAAAGTGTACTTAAACCCCAAGAAGGCAGAAATTTTTGTTTGTTTTGTCCGTTGCTAATCCGTAACTCCAAGAATAGTGCCATAGTAGATATTCAAAGATATTTATTGAAAGAATCTCATTTAATCTTCACAAAGCAGCATGCAGTGACTAGCTAAAGATGATGGTGAATTAGTTTTCATGAAGTCACAAAAATCATTTCATTGACGAATTAAAATATTGTATTGATGAATAAAGTAAATGCCCACAAAATAAACTTAAATGTTGCATTCATAAGTTTTGGTAGTTTTTCAGCCTCATGAAACAAAAATCAATTACTTAATTTATTATAGCTAATAATTTTCTTTGCTATTAATCATATATTATTTGCATTGTGACAACATTATATCCAGTGACTGGATTTCAATTTGAAATTCAAAACTGTAGAAATGAAATAAAAAGTTCTGGATAAGATTTCAATTCTATTCTTATAAAATAGTATCTCTTGTCTTCTGGTATTACGGTATAAACTGTACATTTTAATAAATTATATATTCAAAGTATAAAGAAAAATTGGTCTCCAACTTCAATTTCCAACAAAACATTGGAAAATGTTTCATTTTGCTGGCATTTTAAATTTAAAATGTAAACTTAGATTGCAGAGGGTTTGTTGTTGTTGTTGTTGTTGTACCACTGTAAGAAATGAAATGCAAAATAGAGCAAAATTGAAAGAAACACAACTAGCCAGACAGATATGTCTCCTTTCTAAAATTATGGTGTTCAAATTTCTCAACTTTGTATTTTTTTGAACTTAATATCTTCAGACACAAGCCTCTCAGGCTGTTAAATGGCTGAGAAGACTATACACGAAAACACTCCTGTGTAGGCTTTTTAATTAGCTACTTGTCTTTGATAATATAAGGTGTCACTTTTATTCTCCTGTTGAACTCTAGACTGTCTTCTCCATGAGAATACTGAGATTATTGGGACAAACATGCTCAGTCACTATATTCCTTCTGAGTCTAGTTATAACATGTTGGATCCAAGAAGCTTCCTTCCAGAATGTAACTGGAGAGGTCAGGTTGTCAATTCAGGCAAGTTGGCTAAGTGAGAGAGTGTGAGTAGGTGGGATCTTAAGTCTATGGAGTGACACATTGGGCAAGAGCAGCAGTAGGGAGCTGAGTGAGTAACTTCAGTACAGTGAAGACAGCCATATGCCTTTTCCCTTGACCTCCTTCTTAGGTATTCTGGTGTATGGGGACATGTGGGCACAGGATTTGGGGGACCTATCCTCAGTCGCTGATATTCCCTTGGCTTACAAATAGATTCCAGGTGAATTAACTATAGGCTTCAATTAAAAGGATGGGGTACAGTGATCAGACAGGGCATGGTGGTTCCAAATCCAGGAAAAGTGTCTTTCAAAACTATAGCATCTGTCCTTCCAGGGAACTACTGGGCTATAACAAAATGATAAAAATTAATCTTTAAAATTCTAACACTAATATTGCTTCACAATCTGATCAAAAACCCTAACAATGTGGTGCTGTGTGTGTGTGTGACAAACTCTTCTACAGTGATACAAATATTCTTGTAGTTCTGGTAGCTCTACCCTGATGTAAAATCTCCCCAGGTGGTGTACAACTCAATGCCTTAAGATAGTAATCCCTTAACACGTGGCCATTGACCAGTGAATAAGTGAATGAATAAATGGTCAACAAAGGAACATCCATCTCCTAGCAAATATTGGCAGTTTACTCTAAAGAGCAAGTAATGAAGCTTTCTGATAATTAGCATTTTCAACTTAGCTTTTTTAAAGGCTAATGATAAAAAGATTCTTAACAAAATTAGACATTACAACACTTTAAAAAATGGAACAATTTATCAGTAATAAAATCATTTTCTTTCAGTGACATATTAGAAACTATATTTAGAAAACAATTTGTAATCTTACACAAATCATGTGGACTTTAATACATACCAGAAAAAGTTCATTTTGTACAAAGTTGTCTGTCTGCTAATTTTAATTTTCTTTATAATATAGTAGCTTTCATATAGGTATGTGAACCAATTTGCTGACCTCTCTCTCCTTCTCCTATTCTGCCCCCAAACGGGATGAAGGTAGCACTTCAGAGTGGGCAGATCAAGGAGACTTAGTCCTAGACAGGCTGTCCTGCATCTGTTTTTCTTCAGACAAATTGAAGCGTTCCAGTTGATGGTGCCAATCAACTGGAAAGCCCATTTGCATAACCCCAGGGCATATACCTCTGACAATGTAGAATGAGGTATATGCCCTGGGGTTCCTTGTCTGGCACCAGGAAAATTTAGGACACGGACACACACGAGGAGTTTAGGAGTGGAGGTTTAACAGGTAGAAAAGAAGAGAAGGAGAAACAGCTGTCTCCATAGAGAGAGGGGTCTCTGAGCGGCAAAGACCGGCTGGTGGCAAACGCGCCGAGTTTTACAGTCCACATTGAGGAGGCAGTGTCTGTTTAACATAGGGCTCATTTGATCAGGTATGACATTTACATAGTACATGGGGAAGGCTGCTCACCCCACCCTAATCTTCTTATGCAAATGGACTTTCCAGTTGATTGGCACCATCTTGTCTGCTCCTTTACAGTACACGTGGCTGGCAAAGAAGGGAAGATGGAGCCACCATCTTGAACACCCCTAGTCCTTAGTTCCCACCAGCATTCATCCAGCAAGCTCCCAGCTTGCAGGATGCTCTTTGTTAGAAAATGATTTGGGGCCGCTTTTCATTAAAAAGACAAGCCTTACTGAGGACTCCATGCCCTTCTATCTGCCTAAGTGATTTCTTCTTAACTCCTGTATCAAAATTACTGAATATGTCTGGATGGCTTACTTTCCTTACTTGTAAAATGACAGGAAGAACATCTGCCCTCCCTACCACCCAGGTAATGGGGAAAGAGCTTTGAAAATTCTGAAGCAGAATACAAATGTAAAACACTAACATGACATATCACCAAGAAAGTCCCTTTTTGCTTCTGGAGAGTGACTCTACAGCTGCAAGCCTTCACCCAACTTCTAACTGGAATGTGTGGGAATTTCTAGGGAGACTGGCCTTATCTGGAAGTACACGGAACTATGTGCCTTACTCTGTAAATTCAGAGGCAAAGCTGCTGAGATTGTGCCAGCTATGCCACAATAGAGTTGGCCAAAAGCATTTATTTAAGATAAACCAATTCGGAAAATCCTACTGGATCTGGTTTATACAAAGAAGCCTGGGGGTAGAGGGTGTCCTCAGGTTGAGATGATGAAGATGTGACTATCTGTTACGGGCTGAATATGCTCCCCTTCCTTCAAATTTTGAAGTCCTAATCCCCAGTACCTCAGAATGTGAGTGTATTTGGAGATAGGACCTTTAAAGAGATAATTAAGATAAAAAGAAATCACTAGGGTGGGACCTAATCCAATATGACTGGTGTCCTTGTGAGAAGAGGAAATTTGGACACAGACAGGTACAGAGAAAAGTGTGAAGACAAAGGGAGAAAACAGTCATCTATAAGTGAAGGAGAGAGGCTTCAAAAGAAAGCAAATTTGTTGACACCTTAATCTTAGACTTCTAGTTTTCAGGGCTTTGAGAAAATAAATTTCCATTGTTTAAGCCACCCAGTCTGGGTACTTTGTTATGGCAACCATAGCAAATTAATACACTCTACCTTCATCTTTCTTTCCCCCTGCAAGAAGGGAATACACTGGAACTTAAACCTCTTTTTCCCTCAAAGAGTATGCCCAAGTCTTTCCCCTATTAGGTAGGTCAGTGGTCACTGGCCTTAAAGTTGCTGAGTCACTGAACTTGTACCATATTTGATTATTTGATGTTGAAAGGGTAAGAAAGATGGTAGGAGACAGAGGGTAAGGCTGCAAGGGAACCCCAAGAGCAGCTTGCATTGGCGCCACTTGGTATGAGAAGAATACTCAAGTCTCCTGTGGACCTAGTGGATGCTGTATAGAGCAGCTGGATCCCATTTGGAGAGGTTCCTGGTAGAGCAAGAGGTTATAAGGGAAGATTTTCCACTGGGAGAATGAGAGTCAAGAAGAAGCTAGGCCTTGGCAGACCCACCTTTACCAAGGAGGAGCAGAGATGTATGCCCTCACCTGGAGGAGGTCTCCAATGAGCCACAGGTGAACAGCTCTCGGCTATTCAACATTCAAACATGAGCTGCTCAGGAGAATCAGTAGCTGTTTAGGGATAGACCCCAAAGTCAGCAACCTACTAAAAGGGGGATGGTTAACTTGGAACTGCAACCATGCTGGTGATCAGAAAGAGAAAGTCTGTTTCCTCCTTCCATCATCAAGGAGGTTGTTGGAGAGGACAGACTATATCCTTCCTTAAACACACCTTCCTTTCCCCAAGCAGTTCCATCTTCCAAGTCTGGCCCATGAAAGTGGATAAGTGGAAAAATTTTAGTAAATAGTTTGGGTTATATAAATTAATGACTGACCTAAATTTTACATTGCATTGAGGATTAAAGAAAAAAAAAAGAAAGTCCTTTCTGGCCAGAATGGGAAATTTGGGGTTCAAATGTGTGCAGCCTTGAGACTCAAGTAAGTTACATCTTGTGTATATCAGCTCTGAAGCTCCCCAGCCAAAACCACTTAGTACAAATGAAATATAACAAAGTTGCTTGGTGGGTATTTTACTCAAACCTAGTAAAGTTCTCTTTCATCCTCAGCACTTTTTTTTCAAAATTTTGTAATTCACCTCAATCTTATAATCCCACTCTGAAATTTCAATGTTGCTTCTGATAAAAAAAAAGACTAGCAGTATGATCCTGAGTAAGTCACTTAATTTCTCTGACAATTAACTCATCTGCAAAATGGGGATAATAGTATCAGTTTGCCGGGTGGTTGTAAAGAAAAAATGATATACAGCATATAATGTTAGTCTGGCCCATACTACGTACTTGATCACTGGTAGTTACTATTATTATTATTAACAATACTTATATGAGTGAATCTTATATTCTAGGAACACTAATCTATCAACGTTATCCAAACAGGGATACTGATGTTCCCACACAAGCTATCCATCCAGAAAATATATGGCACTCACCCTGGAACACATACCCTGATGTCAGTTGTCACCTCCTTGGTGAAGCCTTTTTTGACTCCTAGTTTGTCTTCCCTTTATCCTCTTCCCCACACTGCAGAAGTAACTGTTTACTTCACTGTGCTTTGTTCAATATGCTGGAAAAGCACTTAGTACATTAGTCTCTCCAACAAAACAATGAGCCTAGCCAAATGGCTAGGGATGTGGTTTACTCAGATTTGTGCCTAGTAGATAGTATGCTCAATATTATTACTTTGAATCAAATTGTTGGCTGCTGTATTCTCACTTGCAAATGAGGGGTTGGACTAGGAGATGCTCTACGACAACTGTGTCAGAATCCTCTGGAGAGCTTCTTAAAATGTAAGTTTCTGGCCTCCATGCTCAGTGAGCCTGACTCAGCCAGTCAGGATGGGGTCCAGGACTTTTTAACAATCTTTTAACCCCTTCCCATGATTACTATATAAGGGATCCATCCACGCTCCCCTTCATCTCTGGGATTCCATGATTACATGAGTCAGATAATTCACATCTGAACATGCCCTTCACTCATTTCCTAATTCAACTCTTTGTGGGAGAAAAAAAGAGGTTTTACTGTTTTCTTTCCAATGTAGCAGCCAATTTGTACTGAGAATCAATTGCTCACTGTTGAGCATAGAAGTATTTTAACATCCAAATTAGTTCAGTATTGATGAAGCATTTCATGAAATTGTTTCAGGGCCCACAAACTAGTCTATTTTCATGCAGATGCCTTAAAATGGCCTATCAAGTATCATCTACAGTATTTCCAGCTCCAAACAGTCTTTCAAGGAGCTTTAGGAGCTTTGGAGTTCTAGCTCCAAAGACCCATGGGTAAAATTCTGTGAGCTCATGCAGCAGATCTCTAACCTGTAAATCTTGTGTATCAAATCTGGTCACTTTCTTTGTAATAGTACTCTCCTTCCTTCAACTCAAATATCAGTATTAAAAGCCCTACATTTTTTTAAACAAATAAAAAAATAGCTGCTTTAAGGTTGCAACATCAGCTGTGAAGGACATATATTAGAATAGTTCCAGGTTTTAAAATGGGGAGTGCCTGGCCATTTTGCATCCTCTGAACTATCCAGCATCTTCTTATCCACTTAGCCTATGTAGCTAGAGGAAAGAGACAAAATATTAAAACCTTTGAAGAAGGATCTAAGACCTGTGGTCACTGGGCAGAAAAGGAAGAAGCAAAAGAAGTAGGCATCTGGCATCTGGGAAGTTCTGTTTGTCCTTGGCACCTTCTGCCAATATTTCCTTTCCCTTAAGAAAAACTACGAGAGAAGAGACATTGGGCATCCTTCCAAACCTCAATTGAATTGCTGGCAAACTCTGATTAATTATTCTGGGGAATCCTGGTTGAAAACCTAACATGAATATGCTACTTCAGCAACTATCATTAGAAAAAAATAATCAATTTAATGTATCTGCAACAGTGCTCATTGGGAATGTTTTCTCCTATGATAAACACAAAATTTACTTCTTCTTTAAAACCTGTAAATTATCTTTGTTCCTCTGTAAATATTGGAGAATGTTCTCTGTTCTGGCCTTAGTATACTCAGGACAACCCACCTCCAAGCTTGGGTTTCCTAAGACATAGATCATAGAGAACCCTCAAGCACATTATATTTATCCTTAAACATATCTTTTTCTCCAAATTTCTGCTACTTTTCTACCTTGATTATCTGGTAAGGTCTACATTGCAGAATGCTGGTCTCCACATGGCACATGCACTGCCATTTCTCCTCCCTATGCCAATAGCAGATTTCATTATTTTTTTATTTTTAAAATTTTAAAACATACTATATAGAGAGATGAGTATACATAACATATATGTACAGTTTACATAATAATAAAAAATCAATTTATGCTCTACTCAGGTTAAATATAAAAACATCTATGGTATTTTAGTAGCTCCTCCCTGATTTTTGCCACATTTTACTGCTTTCAGAGAAAACAACTGTGCTGAATTTTATGATAATATTTTCTTCCTTCTCTTTGTAGTTTTACCACTGTATTAGGCCATTCTCACACACTACTATAAAGGTATACCTGAGACTGGGTAATTTATGAAGAAAAGAGGTTTAATTAACTCACAGTTCCATGGGCTGTACAGGAGGCATGGCTGGGGAGGCCACAGGAAACTTACAATTATTGCAGAAGGTGAATGGAAAGAAGGCACATCTTCACATGGCTGGCAGGCAAGAGACAGCGAAGAGGAAGGTGCCACACACTTTACACCAGCCAGATCATGTGAGACTCTATCATGAGTCAGCAGGAAGGGGACAGTGCTAAAACATTAGAAACCACCTCCACGACCTAATCACCTCCCACCAGGCCCCACCACCAACACTGGGAATTACAATTTAACATGAGATTTTGGTGGGGACACAGATTCAAACCGTATCAACCACCTAAATGTATATCCTTGCTATAGTCTAAATGTGTGTCCCCTCAAAATTCATATGTAAAAATTTAGTCCCCAGTGCAACAGTATTAACAGATAGGGCCTTTAGGAGGAATAAATACTATTCATGAGGGCTTTGCTCTTATAAATGAGACCAGTGTCCTCTAAAAGAGGCTTGAGGGAGCTCTCCAGCTCTTACAGCCATGTTAGGACACAGCTAGAAGGTACCATCTAGAAAGCAGACGGTGAGCTTTTACCAGACATCTAAACTGCTGGTGCCTTGATCTTGGACATCCTAGTGTCCAGAACTGTGAGTAACAAATTCTAAATTACCGAGTCTAAGATGTTTTGTTATAGCAGCAGGAACAGACTAAGACAACCCTTAAAAAACCCAGTTTTTGTTGCTAGTTTTTGACTTTTATACAAATAAAAACATATTATATATTTTCTTTTGAGAGTTGCTTCTCTTTCTCAATATAATGTAAAATTCTTTCAGTTGATGCATAAAGTTGCAGTTCACTTATAGCCATCATTATCTCCTATTCTATCATATAAATTAACCATAATTCATATATCAACTGATGGACATTTAGGTTATTTCCAGCTTGGGCTGGAACTTGGGAAAATGATCCTGCCCTGCCACCTCCTCTTTCTTGTTTTCTGATTTTGTCCAGAGAACATGACACCTACACCTGCTCTAGCCATATAGTAACGTTAGGAAAGGAATAGCTGAAATGCCGAAGGTAATAGTAACATTAGGAAAGGAATTGTTGAAATGCTGAAGGTAGCAAATCTGAAAGAAAGGAAGAGAATCCAGTCACATCACTGAACTGTCTCTGGAACCACCAACCTCCAGAAATTTTGTTACATAAGATTAATAAATCCCTATTATTTAAGTCACTTTTATACAAATATTCTTATTTGCACAGCCTAAAGCACACTTCTTCATACAAGGGTCTAAGATGCCCCAGTGACACTGTTCTAAGGAGAAGGATGGTTCCAAGCCTAGCTTCATAGTTGGTGAAAGAACTACCTCTGTGAGATGTAGATGATTTGGTCATCTGCCTCTTCCTGGCACTGGTCTTAATCAAATTGCTGAAATAGATAAATTGTCATACCATCCCTCCAACATTCCTTAGTACCTTCTCCTTAGCTGGGTTATCCAGTAAGAACAATAGGCACATGCTTTGGGCACGAGCAGAGAAAATCCACCAATAATTTATACTAATTGTTATAATCAGAAAATATAAAAATAATATTTTAATATCACATATACACAAGTTCTGTGATTTACACTAAAATATTGCTTTGAATTTGAGTAACTGTGGTACAGAGATGTGGTGCACATTCTTATCTGGTTCTTCTCCCCCTCCTGGGCCTACTGGAAAACTGTGCTTCATAGGCCATCACAGGCAGTCAGGGCTGTTGACTAATCCTAGTCCATGAAATGTGAGGAGAAAGACTGAAGATTTTCAGAAATGCTGCTGACTAGTGACTACTATGGGTTTTCTACTTTTTTCTTTTCTAAGTGGAAAATTTATTGTAGTTTCCTGTCCCTGCCTCACTGAGGTATATTGGAAGGGTGGGGAGCAAGATAAACCTATCTTTTTTATTCATAGGTTACCAGACTAAGACATGTCACTTCTAGAAATAATGGAGAAGGCTATCTAGATGACATGGAGATCTTGAACTATACAAAGGATGTGGCTCAAGGATGGCATTTTTAATACATCTTCCTGAGGAAGTGATTAAGTGTGTTCTTCATGTACACAGAAGAATTAAACAATTATTTGGTGATCAAGAAGGCATGTTGCACTGGAGATGACATGTGCTCAGATATACTCTTTCCTACTCTCCTTCCTGGGAAGATTAGAATTCCCAGTCACCTTGCAGTTAGGCAGGGTCCTGTACTAGTTCTAGCTAGTCAAATGAAAGAAGAAGTGATATGAATCTCTTCTGAGCCAAGTATTTTAAAGTAAGTGTGCCACCTTTATGATCTTTCTATCTCCTTGAGCAATAAATGTAGTAGCCACATTTTATTATAAAATAATGGCCTACAAAATATAGGAAACTTTCCATATAGAAGCAGAAGAGTGCCCCCTAACCTGCAATAGACTTTACATGATATATTGGTTCTAAACCACTGAGCCTTTGGAAGTTTGTTGCTGAAGCAGAACCTATTGTGTTCTGACTAATATAATTATATAATTGGAAACAAAGAAGTACCTGCACGATATTTAGGACATTGTTTCCCATCTTTCTAGGCCCAGTGCCCCTTAAATGCTTAGAGATAACTCCTTTTGCAGCCCATAAGACTCACGTCTGGACAATCTGATCATACCCCAAATCTATTCCCTTCTCACTGACTACCAAAGCATCTTCTTCCTGTCTTTGGCAACTCTGTGGTCTTGCAACCTATGTGCTGAAGAATTCACATTTAAGTATTAATATGGCAATAGCAATCTCAGAATATGTCAAGGAAAAAAATAGATTTTAAAATTTTACTTACTTGAGCCCCTGGCCTGAGTATCTATATATAAATCAGTGTCTACAGGAATGCATTTGCTTGGAATCTTGTAAAAGTTACAGTAGGATTTATTGAGAGTCATTGAGACATCTTGTAATAAAAGCTATTTACAGTTTAAAAATTATGTATTTCTAGAAAACTGTAAGGAATATACCAGTGTACCTGGTTCCAGTCTTCATTTTTTTAATCTGCAAGGAATTGGTGACCATCCTTAACCAGAGTTAAGCAAATAATGTAGTCTCCTTAATCTTTATTCTACACTGCTTATGCATCCCTCAGTATCTCACTTCATACTGTTCTCTGTGGGGCATCCTAATCTTGCTTTAAGCTCCTTATTACTTACAGGGACACTTGTTTGAATTAATTTATTATTAAATATTCACATAAAATAAAACTTCATTTCAAATTCTCTTAGAGACATTTGTTGTCTCATTAAGTACAAAGAAATAAGTGAGTACCAGGTATGCTTTGATCAGTGACATAACAATTTCACCAAGAAGCCAGGTACTTCTTTGTCTTTTATTTTCTTTTTTTCTTATTCTTTTTTAATTAATTATTATTTTTTTTTGAGACAGGGTCTTGCTTTGCTGCCCAGGCTGGAGTAGAGTGGTGTGATCAAAGCTCACTGCAGCTTTGACCTCATAGGCTCAAGCAATCTTCTCACCTCAGCCTCCTGAGTACCTGGGACCACAGACACATGCCACTATGCCTGTCAAGTTTTTTATTTTTAGTAGAGACAAAGTCTTGCAAGTTGGCTAGGCTGATCTCAGACTCCTGGGCTCCAGTGATCTTCCTGCCTCGGCCTCCCAAAGCTCTGGGATTGCAGGTTTGAGCCATTGTTCCCAGCCCCAGTGTGTTGTTTTTTGCTTTTTTTCCCTCTGTTCTCCCATCTTATGCATTTACTTCATTTTATGATTGATTTCTTTTGTGGTCATCTGACCGTAGCATTCCCAGAAGTAACATTCAGACAAGACAAAACTTAGAGTCACGGCAGAAAGAAGATGCCCACTTCCCGACTTAATTGGAAGCCCCACAGCATACTTTTTTCCTTCAGGTCTCACTAGCCAGGATTGCATCACATATCCATTCCCAAATCAAAATTGACAATGAGAATAAGAACTTAGAACAGCAGTTTTCAATGTGTGGTGACTGGGTGTCTAGAAAATCAACAGGCCCTTTCAGGAAATTTATGAGGTCAAAACAGTTTCATAATAATGCTAACATGGGATTTGTCTTTTTACTGTGTTGTTATTCACACTGATTGTGTAAAAGCAATGGTGAATAAAACTACTTTATCTTAGCATGAGTCAAAGGAGAGGCACAAGAGTTGTCTCCAGACACGAAGGTGATTGTTTTCCCCATCAAGCCTCCTGGCTCCCAAATTGGCATAAGAAAAGATGCAACAACAAATGACACAAGAATTTTGCATAGGAGTTGGAAGATCATGTCAGCTACAAACAAAAACTAAGGTGGTTGTGAGTTCAGTGTAAGCAACAGTAATATTTGAAGATGACAATCACAGAAATGACTGTTCAGACTTGAACCAGCAAATACTGTTTTAAAAGAGCCACAAAAAAAAGAAGGGGTTCAATTCTTAAAGATCTTTTGAAATTTTCCATTAACCAAAAAAAAGACCCAAAACGATGCTAATGCTACAAAAAGTGTTGGCAACTATTTCTATAATAAAATATTTTAATAAAGACATTTGTAGGCCATATAATCTCTGTTGCAACTACTCTGCTTTTATAGCAATATATAAAAGAAATAAATATGGCTATGTTTCAGTAAAAATTATTTACAAATAAATTTTTTAGAAGCAGATGTACCATACTTTATTAGTAGTTCTCATATTTTCCTTTGTCATGCACTTGGAGTAAGAAAGAATACCATTTCACTCAAAAATGTCTTTGATGAAGCCATAAAAAGCAATAATTTAATAAATATTGGTGCTTGAATTTACTTCTTTTTAATGTCCTGTGTGATGGAATTGGAAATATATCCATGATGCATTTCTGCTGCATATAAAATATATCTCAAAAAATTGTCTGGACAACTGTTTGAGTTTTAAGTTGAACTAGTCACTTTTTAATGCAATATCATTTCCTTTTCAACAACAAAAGACCGATGGACAAACTATAATTATTCAGCAGACATTTTGCAAGAATGAATAAAGTGAGTGAACCTCCACTTCAAAGAAAGAAAGAGATGGGGAGGGAGAAACAAAGATAAAGATGATGGAAAAGAGGAAAACAAGAGGAAAAAGAAAAGGAATGGAAAGGAAGGGAAAAAGACAAGATAATAGTTGACTATATTTTTTGTCAATGAAAAAATTTGAACTTTTAGAGGAAAATTAGAATTCTGAAAAATTTGTCTCTGCCACCATGAGCTTGTCACCTTCCAAATACCTAAAGACATTTTAAATGAGATTGTTGGTTATATTAATGAATGTAATACTTTTTATACTAACATTTGAGGAAGAGTTACACAATTCCATAAACCAACATTCTTATAATTACCAATGCACGATGTTGCAAATTTATGCACGGTTAAAAGATTCACTTAACACATAATATAAGTCAATGGATTTTAAAGCAGTGGATGAAAAATCCATTAATATGATTTTAGTTCATCAACTAACCCTTGAGAAACTACCACTTGTCAAGTTTTAGTGTAGTACCGGAGAAATATCTATAATTACATTAAAAGCTTGTCTATTAAAATGCTCCTTTTTTCCAACAACATGTCTGTGAAAGGACAGATTTTCTTCATATATTTTAATGAAAACAACATATTGCAACAGATTGAATGCAGAAGCTGATACGGAAATCGGCTGTCTTTTAGTTGAATCAAATATTAAAGATTTTGTGAAAATGTAAAATCATTTAACTCTTTTTATTATTATTATCACACTTTAAGTTCTAGGGTACATATGCACAACATGCAGGCTTGATACATTGATATACATGTGCCATGTTGGTTAGCTGCACCCATCAACTAGTCATTTACATTAGGTATTTCTCCTAATGCTATCCCTCCCCCAGGCCGTACCTCCTGACAGGCCCCAGTGTGTGATGTTCCCCGCCCTGTGTCCAAGTGTTCTCACTGTTCAATTCCCACCTATGAGTGAGAACATGCGGTGTTTGTTTTTCTGTCCTTGCGACAGTTTGCTGAGAATGGTTTCCAGCTTCATCCATGTCGCTGCAAAGGACATGAACTCATCCTGTTTTATGGCTGCATAGTGGTGTATATGTGCCACATTTTCTTAATCCAGTCTATCATTGATGGACATTTGGGTTGGTTCCAAGTATTTGCTATTGTGAATAGTGCTGCAATAAACATACATGTGCATGTGTCTTTATAATAGCATGATTTATAATCCTTTGGGTATATACCCAGTAAAAGGATGGCTAGGTCAAATGGTATTTCTAGTTTTAGATCTATGAGGAATCACCACACTCTATTCCACAATGGTTGAACTAATTTACACTTCCACCAACAGTGTAAAAGTGCTCCTATTTCTCGACATCCTCTCCAGCATCTGCTGTTTCCTGACTTTTTAATGATCGCCATTCTAACTGGTGTGAGATGGTATCTCATTGTGGTTTTGATTTGCATTTCTCTGATGACCAGTGATGATGAGCATTTTTTCATGTATCTGTTGGCTGCATAAATGTCTTCTTTTGAGAAGTGTCTGTTCATATCCTTTGCCCACTTTTTGATGGGGTTCTTTGTTTGCTTCTTGTAAATTTGTTTGAGTTCTTTATAGATTCTGGATATTAGCCCTTTGTCAGATGGGTAGATTGTAAAAATTTTCTCCCATTCTGTAGGTTGCCTGTTCACTCTGATGGCAGTTTCTTTTGCTGTGCAGAAGTGTTTTAGTTTAATTAGATCCCATTGGCTTTTGTTGCCATTGCTTTTGGTGTTTTAGCCATGAATCCTTGCCTATGCCTATGTCCTGAATGGTATTGCCTAGTTTTTCTTCTAGGGTTTTTATGGTTTTGCGTCTAGCATTTAAATCTTTAATCTATCTTGAATTAATTTTTGTATAAGTTGTAAGGAAGGAATGCAGTTTCAGTTTTCTACATATGGCTAGCCAGTTTTCCCAGCACCATTTATTAAATAGGGAATCATTTTCCCATTTCTTGTTTTTGTCAGGTTTGTCAAAGATCAGATGGTTGTAGATGTGTGGTGTTATTTCTGAGGCCTCTGTTCTTTTCCATTGGTCTATATATCTGTTTTGGTACCAGTACCATGCTGTTTTGACTACTGTAGACTTGTAGTATAGTTTAAAGTCAGTTAGCATGATGCCTCCAACTTTGTTCTTTTTGCTTAGGATTGTCTTGGCAATGAAGGCTCTTTCTTGGTTCCATATGAACTTTAAAGTAGTTTTTTTTTTTTCCAATTCTGTGAAGAAAGTCATTGGTAGCTTGATGGGGATGGCATTAAATCTATAAATTACCTTGGGCAGTATGGCCATTTTCATGATATTGATTCTTCCTATCCATGAGCAAGGAATGTTCTTCCATTTGTTTATGTCCTCTTTTATTTCGTTGAGCAGTGGTTTGTAGTTCTCCTTGAAGAGGTCCTTCACATCCCTTGCAAGTTGGATTGATAGGTATTTTATTCTGTTTGTAGCAACTGTGAACGGGAGTTCACTCATGATTTGGCTCTCTGTTTGTCTGTTAGTGGTGTATAGGAATGCCTGTGACTTTTGCACATTGATTTTGCAACCTGAGACTTTGCTGAAGTTGCATATCAGCTTATAGAGATTTTGGGCTGAGACGATCAGGTTTTCTAAATATACAATCACGTCATCTGCAAACAGGGACAATTTGACTTCACCTTTTCCTAATTGAATACCCCTTATTTCTTTCTCTTGCTTGATTGCCCTGGCCAGAACTTCCAACACTATGTTGAATAGGAAGGGGGAGAGAGGGCATCCTTGTCTTTTGCCAGTTTTCAAAGGGAATTCTTCCAGTTTTTGCCCATTCAGTATGATGTTCGCTGTGGGTTTGTCATAAATAGCTCTTATTATTTTGAGATACATCCCATCAGTACCTAGTTTATCGAGAGTTTTTAGCATGAAGGGCTGTTGAATTTTGTCAAGGCCTTTTCTGCATCTATTGAGATAATTATCTGCTTTTGTCATTGGTTCTGTTTATGTGACAGATTACATTTATTGATTTGTCTATGTTGAAGCAGCCTTGCATCCCAGGGATGAAGCTGACTTTATCGTGGTCAATAAGTTTTTTGATGTGCTGCTGGATTCAGTTTGCCAGTATTTTATTGAGGATTTTTGCATCAATGTTCATCAGGGATATTGGTCTAAAATTATCTTTTTTGTTGTTGTGTCTCTGCCAGGCTTGGGTATCAGAATGATGCTGGCCTCATAAAATGAGTTAGGGAGAATTCCCTCTTTTTCTGCTGATTGGAATAGTTTCAGAAGGAATGGTACCAGCTCCTCTTTGTACCTCTGGTAGAATTCAGCTGTGAATCTGTCTGGTCCTGGACTTTTTTTGGTTGGTAAGCTATTAATTATTGCCTCAATTTCAGAGCCTGTTATTGGTCTATTCAGAGATTCAACTTCTTCCTGGTTTAGTCTTGGGAGGGTGTATGTGTCAAGGAATTTATCCATTTCTTCTATATTTGCTAATTTATTTGCATCAAGGTGTTTATAGTATTCTCTGATGATAGTTTGTATTTCTGTGGGATCGGTGGTGATATCCTCTTTATCATTTTTTATTGCATCTATTTGATTCTTCTCTAT
Organism: Homo sapiens; assembly: GCF_000001405.40. Taxonomy (NCBI): domain Eukaryota; kingdom Metazoa; phylum Chordata; class Mammalia; order Primates; family Hominidae; genus Homo; species Homo sapiens. Next base: position 90,368,691 of record NC_000010.11, read on the forward strand.
TTTCTTCTTTATTAATCTTGCTAGTGGTCTATCAATTTTGTTGATCTTTTCAGAAAAACAGCTCCTGGATTCATTGATTTTTTGAAGGTTTTTTTGTGTCTCTATCTCTTTCAGTTCTGTTCCGATCTTAGTTATTTCTTGCCTTCTGCTGGCTTTTGAATTTGTTTGCTCTTGTTTCTCTAGTTCTTTTAATTGTGATGTTAGGGCATCAATTTTAGATCTTTCCTGCTTTCTCTTGTGGGCATTTAGTTCCATACATTTCCCCCTACACACTGCTTTAAGTGTGTCCCAGAGATTCTGGTACGTTGTGTCTTTGTTCTCATTGGTTTCAAAGAACATCTTTATTTTTGCCTTCATTTCGTTATTTACCCAGAGTCATTCAGGAGCAGGTTGTTCAGTTTCCATGTGGTTGAGCAGTTTTGAGTGAGTTTCTTAATCCTGAGTTTGACTGCACTGTGGTCTGAGAGACAGTTTTTTGTGATTTCTGTTCTTTTACATTTGCTGAGGAGTGCTTTACTTCCAACTATGTGGTCAATTTTAAAATAAGTGCGATGTGGTGCTGAGAAGAGTGTATATTCTGTTGATTTGGGGTGGAGAGTTCTGTAGATGTCTATTAGGTCTGCTTGGTGCAGAGCTGAGTTCAAGTCCTGGATATCTTTGTTTGCCTTCTGTCTCATTGATCTGTCTAATATTGAAAGTGTGGTGTTAAAGTCTCCCATTATTATTGTGTGGGAGTCTAAGTCTCTTTGTAGGTCTCTAAGGACTTACTTTATAAATCTGGGTGCTCCTGTATTGGATGCATATATATTTAGGATAGTTAGCTCTTCTTGTTGAATTGATCTCCTTGCCATTATGTAATGGCCTTCTTTGTCTCTATTCATCTTTGTTGGTTTAAAGTCTGTTTTATCAGAGACTAGGATTGCAAACCCTGCTTTTTTTTTTTTTTTTTTTTTTTTTTTTGCTTTGCATTTGCTTGGTAGATCTTCCTCGATCCCTTTATTTTGAGCCTATGTGTGTCTCTGCACGTGAGATGGGTCTCCTGAATACAGCACACTGATGGGTCTTGACTCTTTATCCAATGTGCCAGTCTGTGTCTTTTAACTGGGGCATTTAGCCCATTTACATTTAAGGTTAATATTGTTATGTGTGAATTTGATCCTGTCATTATGATGCTAGCTGATTATTTTGCCCGTTTATTGATGCTGTTTCTTTATAGCATTGATGGTCTTTACAATTTGGCATGTCTTTGCAGTGGCTGGTACTGGTTGTTTCTTTTCATGTTTAGTGCTTCCTTCAGGAGCTCTTGTAAGGCAGGCCTGGTGGTGACAGAATCTCTCAGCATTTGCTTGTATGTAAAGGATTTTATTTCTCCTTCACTTATGAAGCTTAGTTTGGCTGGATATGAAATTCTGGGTTGAAAATTCTTTTCTTTAAGAACATTGAATATTGGCCCCCCTCTCTTCTGGCTTGTAGAGTTTCTGCCAAGAGATCTGCTATTAGTCTGATGGGCTTCCCCTTGTGGGTAACCCAACCTTTCTCTCTGGCTGCCATTAACATTTTTTCCTTCCATTTCAACCTTGGTGAATCTGACAATTATGTGTCTTGGTGTTGTCATTCTCAAGGAGTATCTTTGTTGTGTTCTCTGTATTTCTTGAATTTGAATGTTGGCCTGCCTTGCTAGGTTGGGGAAGTTCTCCTGGATAATATCCTGAAGAGTGTTTTCCAACTTGGTTCCATTCCCCATCACTTTCAGGTACACCAATCAAACGTAGATTTGGCTTTTTCACATAGTCCCATATTTCTTGAAGGCTTCGTTTGTTTCTTTTTACTTTTTTTTCTCTAATCATGTCTTCTCACTTTATTTCATTAATTGGTCTTCAATCACTGATACCCTTTCTTCCACTTGATTCAATCAGCTACTGAAGCTTGTGCGTGCATCACGAAGTTCTCATCCCACCGTTTTCAGCTCCATCTGGTCATTTGAGGCCTTCTCTACACTGTTTATTCTAGTTAGCCATTTGTCTAACCTTTTTTCAAGGTTTTTAGCTTCCTTGAGATGGGTTTGAACATGCTCCTTTAGCTCGGAGAAGTTTGTTATTATCAACCTTCTGAAGCCTACTTCTATTAACTTGTCAAAGTCTTTCTTCAACCAGCTTTGTTCTGTTGCTGGTGAGGAGCTGCAATCCTTTGGAGGAAAAGAGGCACTCTAGTTTTTATAATTTTCATCTTTTCTGCTCTGGTTTCTCCCCATCTTTGTGGTTTTATCGACCTTTGGTATTTGATGTTGGTGACCTACAAATGGGGTTCTGGTATAAAAATCTTTTTTGTGGATGTTGATGCTATTCCTTTCTGTTTGTTAGTTTTCCTTGTAACAGTCAGGTCCCTCAGCTCCAGATCTGTTGGAGTTTGCTGGAGATCCACTCCAGACCCTGTTTGCCTGGTTATTACTAGCAGAGACTGCAGAACAGCGAATATTGCTGCCTGATCCTTCCTCTGTAAGCTTTGTCCCAGAGGGGCACCAGCTTTTATGAGGTGTCTGTCAGCCCCTACTTGGAGGTGTCTCCCAGTTAGGCTAAAAGGGGGTCAGGGACCCACTTGAGGAGGCAGTCTGTCCGTTCTCAGAACTCAAACGCCTTGCTGGGAGAACCACTGCTCTGTTCAGAGCTGTCAGACATAGACGTTTAAGTCTGCAGAAGTTGTCTGCTGCCTTTTGTTCAGCTATGCCCTGCCCACAGAGGTGGAATCTATAGAGGCAGTAGGCCTTGCTGAGCTGCAGTGGGCTCCACCCAGTTTGAGCTTCCCGGCCTATTTGTTTACCTACTCAAGCCTCAGCAATGGCAGACACCCCTCCCCAAGCCAGGCGGCCACCTCACAGTTCAATCTCAGATTGATGTGCTAGCAGTGAGCAAGGCTCCATGGGCATGGGACCCACTGAGCCAGGCACAGGAGAGAATCTCCTTGTCTGCCAGTTGCTAAGACCTTGGGAAAAGCATGGTATTTGGGTGGGAGTGTCCTGTTTTTCCAGGTAAAATCTGTCATGGCTTCCCTGGCTAGGAAAGGGAATTCCCCTGACCCCTTGCACTTCCCTGGTGAGGCGATGCCCCGCCTGCTTCAGCTCACCCTCCATGGGCTGGACCCACTGTCCAACCAGTCCCAGTGAGATGAACCAGGTACCTCAGTTGGAAATGCAGAAATCACCCGTCTTCTACGTTGATCACACTGGGAGCTGCAGACAAGAGCTGTTCCTATTCAGTCATCTTGGAATCCCCAAAATCATTTAACTCTTATTCATTTTGTTTTGAAGAACTTGGTCATTTTCTTTGAAAATGTTATTTATGCAAATATGCAAAGGGTTTATTTTTATTTTAAAATAAATATATACATAAATATTTAAAATATTTTTTAATTTTAATTTCTAAAATGATAAATGTTGATAGATCCAGACCATAAAACAGAAGTTCTTTAGGGTCCTGAATTTACTAAGATTGTAAAGAGCTCCTGAGACCAAAGAGTTGGAGAACTGCTGGCTAAGGCTAATCAAGACACATCCACTGAAACTAAGGTTGTAGTCAGATTTCCTGGAAGCACATAGATCTCTGATGTAGAGATAGATATCAAAATAAATGTAGAGTTCTGTTAGCAAAGAAGAAGGCGGTATTAATGCTGCAGAAACTTCCTACTGAGTCACTTATTAATGACCCAGCTGCCATTTGGATCATTATTAAGAATAGCTTTGTGATGTGACAGCTCTCAATCTCTCTGATTTCAATGCTGTGTCCCCTACCTCCACCCAATGACTCTGTTTTCTCTGCCATAATTAGCCCCTCTACATTTTCTGGCTCTGAATCTGGTTTGTTAAGATAATATAAGAATGAATTGAGTAAGAGACTGGCTTGTTCTTACAGACTAGAGGACTGGGCCATTATCACAGATGATGTTTCTTGGTTTCAGTCCAGCCAGGGTGGAAATAAAAACTGAGAAAACGTCATAAACTCAGTAACTGTCAGGCAGCAGTGGCTGTAAATTTTCTACATAGTGGAGCGTAAGGTCAGTAACCTGGTTGGAAAGGAGAGTCTATAAGACTTATTTTCAAGCTACATTTATAGAGCAAGCATGCAGTTGCTGTTGTTTTTAATCCATTTGGTACACTACAGATAAATTAACATAGCAAAGTTTGGTCAAGATGTTTTTGTTCATGCATTTCTTCAGATTTAGAAAATGATAACTATCCAGCTTAAATAATAAGCCTCCAAGGAGTGACCTGCGTGGTGGGATAGTTGATGGAGATTTAAAAGCAGGGAGGTTAAAACGGGACTCATTTTAGTTCTAAAATTACTCTGGAACCATCTCTGCCTTGAGAAAGATAAGGAGGAAAAGAACGAAGGAATAAGGTACAAAATCCACTGCTAGGTCAAGGTCACTAAGTAAATAATAATACATGTGGTGGGGTAAACAATTCCTGCTTCCTTTGATACTTGAAGTAGATCAAGGGTGCAGGTGCCAGGGAAGGAGTGATCTTCTGCTGGAGACTTGGCTAAAAGGAAATTTTTGGCTACTTACAACATTCAGCACATTTAATAGAGTACTAGAAAATACTGAGATGTTGATCACAGAAATAATAGCATCCACAAGGCTGTATGCTTGATTGAGAAAAGGATTAATGAACAGGGTTCAGGGTCAGGGAAAGACATTATGCAGCCTGAGTTTGCTCATGAGTTATCAGTGACAATGTAAGAGTCTCCCCACCTAATATTTGAGACATTAATTACATAATTCCATTAAGTAACTTGTCTAATATAATATTGTGCTGAGAGCTCTTTTCTTGTGTTTCAAATATCCCCAAGAGTTTTCTGGGAAGCCATTGGAAAGTGGCATATTATCTAACAATATCCCGTGAAATTGATTATCTGGGGAAACACATTATAAATCTCACGGATGAACAAACTACAACTTAGTAACATAACAACAATTATACCTCATGTTTATGTAGGATTTAAGTCTCTACAAAAAGCATTCATATTCTCTGTCACCCTCATAGCATCTAGCATAGCCCCTGGCATTACCTCAAGATATCCTAAAAACACACCTGCAAGATATGCTTTATCTTCCTTTGACATATGGGAAAACTGTGACATACATAGTATAAGAAACTTGCCCCAAATCCAAGGACAAGTAGCGATAGAAATATAATTTGAACCCAGATATTCTAAGTTCTAGTGTCATGTTCTTCCATAACATCACAGCTGGCTGCTCTTTGTAAACCTGTTCAGCTACATCTGGAAATGTGCATGTAGCTTCCAAAGTCATCTGACACTCACTCCATGACACTCATGCTTTGATATCAAGATGATCCCCTCCTCCACCTTCCTCTAGTGCTTTACTGTTCCTGTCTGGCTGCACTTACCACTCACTGCCTTACGGTATTCATGTTGTGTAATATGGTTTTCCTCTGCTGAAAACTCCTTGAGAGTGGATAAGGACTAACCTCAATTATCTTTGTTTTCTCCACAGAACCCAGCTCAGTGCCTGGCCTATGGTAGAAATTAGTAAATACTTGCCCCTGGTTGATAAAGTGCTCAAATTGCAGCTCTAAGTGCTGTATGGTTCCATAAGAAAATTATCATGAAAAATAAATTATCTGGGGAATTGTCTCTTTCAACTGAACTCAGGATTTGACTGGAGAAGAAGCTTGACTTCAGCCAGGTCAGCCAGGCTCATTGTGCTCATTGAAGCCATCCTTGGGGGACTTTGAGCAGGCTTTCTAGCTTCTTCCCTCTTCAATCACAGTGTCTGAATGGCCTTTCTCTTGACTTTCAGTGTTTTCTCCCAAAAGATCTGTTTGAAGTGTGGTGGTTTATGGATATTTTGGTTCCTCTCTGTGGAAGAGGCATTTCCCAGCTGCATCTAGTCGGCCATCTTGCTGGGAACTTGAGCCCTTCTCCTCGTTTTAAAATTCAAGTAGGAGAATATTGGTAAGTTGGAAATGAATAGTATTGAGAACAGGGAGGTAGGAGTTGGGGATGTTAATCTAAGAGGGGCTAGTTAGGAGGGCTGATTAGGGGTAACCAGCAGAGGAAAATACATCATTGTTGAGCTACTGCTTTGCTCTAGGTGCTCTGGTTACATTCACTTATTATTTTATTTTCTTAACATCTCTGAGAAGTTGGTATTATTACCCCCATTTTTACATAGTAGTAAGCTGAAGCTCATAGTTCCTCAGAAGCCTCTCAAAGGCACTAAGCTCCTGATTTGGAGTTGAAACTGAGTTCATGTTCCACCACCACCCCACACTGTTTCCCAGCAAACTTGCAGTTGCAAGCGTATATTAGCATGTACTTCACATAAGCTTCCTGAGCTTCTCATGTTCCCTTTACAGGGCTTAGGAGAGTGGGTCCGGGGCATAAGGGTGATGACAGCCAGGGAAAAAGAGATAGGACAGTGTATCATAGAATTGGAGGGATATGGGAAAGGATTTATCTGCTTATTGCATCAGGCTGCCACAATTTTAGAAACCCTATCATTGAATGGGCCTTTCTTGGGAAACTAATATATTGCCAAAGCTCTTCTTTAAATAGCAATAATACAGGTGTTGGTGCTTGAAGAACTGATTTTTGTAGGTCCAATCAATTTTAGTCTTGGATGTGTTATCCTTCTTCTGTCTTGTGCTACCTTGTGATCTCTTATTCAACAAACATGACAATAGTCATGGTAACTGTAATAATAATAATTGATGCAATTATAATAATAGGGCCAATCTTAATTCTACTCATATGAGATTTTAGTCATAGTAATTATTATAGTGATGCTTCTATGTGCTTGGCACTTTCTCATGTGCTTTTAAAAGCATTGCCTCATTTAAATATAAGTGTAGATAAAGTCCCCTGCATTTGTCATACCAAAAACAAGGTAAAAGAGGACATATCAGGTGTGTTTAAACTATCCTCTGTGCTGTCCACTTGGAGGCTTTAACTCTTCAAGCTTTGTGTCCTCCACTGTGGGTCTCTGTTGGGTGATCTCATTAACGATTTGTCTCCACTTTCCAAGTAGAGAAAGATGGTGACATTTGAGAAGAGCCTGCTCTAAGTAGGTTGCTTGCATACATTATCTGAGAAAACCTCATGTTCTGTTCATCCATCTTTGCACCATAGGAAGACTAAGAAATGAAACGTGCTTGGCTCCAGCTCCCAGCGCTTATATCAGGAAATGATTGTCTGGCTGCTTAGAACGGCATCTGTTCTTGCTGAGTGTTGCTGCACTTGGAGGTCTAAGCCCTGTAGGTCATACCCAGCCAAAAGACCCAGATTCACTATGGCAGAGGTGATTAGGTTTTTACATGTAAAATGGGCTTCAGGAATAGATGACTTTCTGGAGCTCTGATTTTTTTGCATCCAGATGACCTGTGGCACATTGAAAAGAGAGAATGCACAATTTACTACGGAGAGCTGGGTTTTTTTTTGTTGTTGTTGTTTGTTTTTTGTTTATTGATTTATTTTTACAGCTCATATATTCCTGCAGTGCAGTGCAGTTGTTAAGTCTTTACACTCTGCTCTCAGACATTAAGAAAAGAAATTGGGGCTTTTAGTAGAAAGGTTAGTGGTATGACTTTCATGAATTGGCATGTATTCCTAAACTGGTAAAAAATGTAGTCTGGGCAGACTGGTGCCTATGCACTATTTTGCTCATAGATGAACCGCTCATCTTAGGAGACAGAGTGGAAACCAGGGAAGAATTCTTAGCTGAGGATTCTTCTCATGGCTGATCTTGTGATTTGTTGTCTGGTGTTCATTAAGTGGCTTAATTTTTCTGGAATCTGAAAGTCATAAATACACTGTAAAATGCTGTTAACCTTCAGAATCCACAGCTTACCTTCTCTCTCAATGGAGCAGTTCCATTCTGCTTGTCTTTATTTGATGCACTTCACTGGTTACTGAAGATATTCCTTCTAAATAGCTTTCAGACAGCAATATTCTCCCTTTCCTCAGCTAGAAGTTCACAGTGTGCCCCATTTCTTTCCTAGAGTGTGACTACTTGAGCTCTGCCCCCGGCACATCATAGGGGTAAGTCAGAACTAAACTTTTGCTCTCACTTTTTATTAAATATCTTGTGATTCTCTTAGGTTCATGAGTATCCAGGGTGCTTCAGTGCTATGTAAAACACAGACTGGAAAATTTGCAGGTGATGTACCAAAGTGCAGAAACAGTTGGTGTCTGACTGCAGAGTGACAATCTGTCCAGGCACGTTGTTGTTGGAAAAGTAGTCTGAAATTGGTCTTCAAATTTGAGCACTGTCTGGGTGTTAACACAATGCTCATGAGAGCTATCCATTTCCCTATTGACTGATAAGAGATCTACCAAGCCCTGAACAATTCCAGCATTCCCAAGTGTGTTAGGCTGTTCTTGAGTTGCGGTAAAGGAATACCTGAGACTGGGTAATTTATTTTGAAAAAAGAGATTGGCTCACAGTTCTGCAGGCCATACATTCATGGCACCAATATCTGCTTGGCTTCTGGTAAGAGCATCAGTAAACTGATAACCAAGGCAGAAGGCAAAGCAGGGGCAGTGAGTGGGAACAAGGGAGAGGAAGGTGCTAGGCTCTTTAAACTATCAGCTCTCTTGTGAACTATCAAAATGAGAACTCATTCATTACCATGGGGAGGAGGGCACTAAGTCATCCATGAGGGATCTTCCCCCATGATCCAATCACCTCCTACCAGGCCCCACCCCCCACATTGGGGATTTCAACATGAGATATAGAGGGGACAAATATTCAAATCATATCACAAAATAATGATGCTGTTGGGTGCCAGATAATTTACAGGCTCAGAGTCCCAACATTTTTCCTACATCCTGTTTCTCCTTTAGAGTGTTCACACTTCACCTTTGAGAATGGGACCAAGAGGTCAAAAGGAAAGATTCCACCTGCCATTCAGGACCTCAAAACTTCCAAAGACCTTCAAATCATGAAGGAAACTGGGCATAGACCTTCTCTGTTGCAAAGGTGAATAACCACTTCTCTTAGCCATCTATACCACTAAGTAGCATTTTTACTTTGGGCAAACCACTTACATGCCTTTGAGTGTTGGGAGTTAAGACCTGCCTTAACAGATTGCAGTGATGATTAAATGAGATGATACTACACTCTGAGGATGAGAGAAGTGATTTATAAATAGTAAAATTGTGGCACCAACATTAAGTGTCATTTTTGTTATTCTTAGTGATTATTATTTAATTTATTTATAATTGCAAGTTTTGGTGAGTTTCCCAATGTAATTAATTTTTAGACCTATTGTTCAGTCTTTCTCAACACTTGTGGAAATTCCAGAAACATAAGACAAGAATTCTCAACCAAGTTACCATAAAAGATTTAATTAACAGAAACTATTATACACATATGGGGTGTGTGTGTGTGTGTGTGTGTGTGTGTGTGTGTGTGTGTGAAACGTTAAGTGGGTAGACAGCATGTAGACATTAAATTTCTGGCCAGTATTGGTCTGAAAATCATTCCCTTCTTATCAAATGCTTGTTAGAATCAGCCTCTTCTCAAATGCTCATGGAAGTTTTTTAGAGTGCCTTTACTTCCATCTTCAGCCTATGGAAATTTTCTATAACACTATTAAACATGATGAATCTTGAAAGCAGGCAGATGTTAATTCTCTTTTAGCTGGGCCTCCAGCAAAAGGTTATTTCTCCCCTGGAGCCCACTTCTACCCCACTTCTGCACCTGTGCCACCTTTCAGTTTGCACTCTCTTTACTCCCTCCTTTCATGGAAATGTTCTTGGCAGCAATTGCCCATCCAGTTTCTCCCTCCCCAAGACCTTCCCTAAATTTTCCAGAGAGAGGGAAATTATTCCCTTCTTGCAATTATTGTTTATTATTTGTATCACATATTCTGCCTCAATAGGGGGTTACTTTCTGTCTCCAATTGGTCTTCAGTGGTGTTCACTGACCACTGAATACACAGATCCTTTTGTTTTAATTGTGCTGAAAAATAAGCAGCAACAGTGTACCAAGTTGGACTCATAACTGGAAGAATTTAATGCAGCTTCCCAAATTCATGAGTTATTCCCCAAAAGTTATGTTTGAAGAATCTGACTCATGAACTATATGATCTATATAAACAGAAACATTTCCTAAGAGAAATTACCATTCCACAGTTTTATTTTTCCCTGAGACACAAAGCATGAGAAATAATGTAATTTAATACAACATAATGCAAAGAGTAGACCATTACTCACACAAAACAGCGCATTGCTTTGCAGCTGACAAGAATTCCTAGGAAACTTCCTGCAGTAGCAATCTACATGAGCAATAGCTAAAGAATATAGTTCTCTCTTTCTCTCACCGGATGGTCAATATACACTATTTTCGCTACATAGGAGAATTCAGAATCATAGAAGAGCATTTAATACAATCCATCAACAGTGCTTCTCAGAAATCAGTATAAATAAGAATAACTGAAAGATCTTGTTAAAAATTCAGACCCCCACATCCTCATTCCATAGATGCTGGGCAGGTGTAGATTCAGGTAGAGACCAAGAAAATGTGTATTTAATGAGTACTCCAGGGAATCTGGATGCAGTTGATCCATAGGCCACACTTTAAGTAACATTACTTCTACACCACAGATACAAAACTGCAAATGCAGAAATATAAATCAGTGTGCCCAAGGTCAAAGACTCACTTATCAGCAGAGCCAGAACAAGGAATAATAATACTGTGTAAAATGATTTATGTATAATCAGAAACAAGTGTCCTGCATTCCATGCAGAAAAAAAAAAATCCCACCCATAAGTTATCTTTTAGTTCCTTACATACCTTTCCTCATCATCCAGACTTCATTAAAATATTTATTGAGCATCTACTATGATAAAACACCAAGAGTGAAATGTTTAAAGATAGAGACTTGGTCTCCTTCCTAATAGAGCTTACAATATAGCAGATTATTTACAGAAATAAGAAAGAATATATAATAAAAATGAAAAAAATGTTCTGGTTAAAGCAAGACATTCTTATGAATCTGCTCAATAATCTAGCAGTTAATGTAATAAGAATGAGGAGAGATATTTCAAATAATCACTGGTCCATTTATTCCTTTATTCCACATTTTTATGCTTTGTACATATGTGCAAAGCACTATGTTAGGCATTGTGGATACAGCAGAAAATATGAAAGGCAACATCTCTGGCTTCTTGGAGGATAATTTCTAGTGGGATGAGGAATAAATAATAAACATAACTAAACAACACAGATGCATACTAAGAAAAGTGCTCCAAAGGAAATAAATAGGTTAGTGCAATACCATATGAGGAAGGAGTAGAGGGTAGTTGAAATATAATGGCCAGAGAAAGCCACTTTGGGAAAATAACATTTTATCTGATATCTAAAAACTACATGGGAAGCAGCCATGCAAAGCATTGGAGAAGAGAACAGCATCCCAGGTAAACAGAACAGCAAGTAGAAAACCCGTGAGATAGGTGTAAGCTTGTCATGTTATAGAAACAAAAGGAAGACCAACTTGGCATTGTATTGGAGCATAGGGAATGAAAAGCAAAGTGGTATGACATGAAGTTTGAGATGCAGTCAGCGGCCAGAGATTTTAGGATCCTATAGGTCACGTTAAGGAATTTGCATTTCATACCATGTGCAGTGGTCAGCTGTGAAAAGCAGGAAGATTAGATTATTATTTGCATTTTTAAAGCTTACTGGATAATGGGTGAAGAATGAATTGAAAGGGAGAATGGACATAGGAGGAAAACAAGTTTAAAGACTACTACTGTAGTTCAAGGATGCTTCCATGCTCAAAGTGTGAGGACGGCCATTATGCAGAAGCAAGGAAAAGGGAGATGGATGGGTATTGGGACATCTCTTGTCATTTTGAGTAGATCTGACTATGTGCACAGGTCCTCCTGGCTAAAGAAGTAAGCAAACATTGCTCAGCCTGGCATCCTAGGCCATCTTCACCACGGCCCAGCCCCACATTGTCAGATTTATTTTGTTACCTGGGTACCAACTAAATTGGACTGCCTGTTCTTCTGTCAGTATCTGTGTCTAGCAACCTATGTGTTCTCATTTTATTCCCTTCCATCATAATTTTTTCTTGCCCATATTCTCTTTATCTAAATTTGAGACTTTTACAAATGTTTCTTTCTTCATTAAATTATTTCTCTCAATCATATACAATATCTTCCTCTTTGGAAACACATTTTAAATCACATGGTTAGCCCCAGAATAATTGCTATTTATTTGCACGGCTTTCTTTGTCTACGACACCACATGCTGCTGAAAGAAGAAATGAAGTCTCACTCATTTTTATGACTCACAGTGCTTTGCACAGGGTCTCAGAATGGAGTATAAGGAGTTCTCTAACCTGAGCTGGATACACTCCAGAGCCTCATTTCTCACGCTCACCCACTACCTGCACATGCTGTTTCAACTTGCAGTTCTGTGGAAAAGACTGTGCTATGTTATGGCTCATGACTTTATTCTTCCTATACCATATCTTTGTATGCTTTTCAGACTCTTGTCTACCCAGCAAATTCCTCTTTATTTTTAAGACTTAGCTGAGGGTGAACTTCTTTATGAAATATTTTCATGGCACCCTCCCTAGGTGCCTCTCTTCAAGTAGAACTAACGGTTCCTTGTTATATGTGCTCTTCTACATGGTATACGCTTAAAATACCACACTCTACATATACAATTTAATATGAAATGTAAAATATCTTGCAGAACATTGCTATTATATGAAAATATGTAAATGTAAAAGTTATGAACCGACAATGACAAAGAGAACAAGAGAAGAGACAATAGACCAAAAATATGATAAATTTTTAGAAGGTGGAAACACTAGTTAGCAGAGCAGACAAAGTTGAGTTCCAAAACGGCTGGATACTCAGCTAATCTTTCTACAGTGACACTTACCACTTCAAAAGCCCTGTATACACACAACAACAATCACATTAAATTTGTGCGTGTATGCATGCATATGCCTAGCTCTTAATATGCACATATGCACACTAAATATTTGTGAAAAGCCTCTAACATGGACAAAGGGTATTCAGAAGCTATAGAAACAGACAGCAGTGGGAAATGGCTCCAAATCTATAATTAAGTTCTCCAAAGAAAAGTGGAAAGATGCTATAAAGAGTAACAATCATACAATTTCAAAAAGAGCTCTCTGAAATTAAAAATATGTGAGAGCAAGAACACACACACACACTCACATTTGAAGATATGATTGAGAATATCTCAAGCATCTCCCTCAGAAAGTAGAACAAAATGACAAAGAGATGAAAATAATATTTTTTAAGGATAAAACTAGGGGATCAATCTGGGAAGTTCAAATAACAGAAAGAAAGTCTAGGAAATATGGAAGGTAGTATTTAATACAATATCAAAGAAATGATATTCAAAACACTCCCAGAACCCGTATTTCTGGAAGGAAAATATTCACTGAAGGCCCAGCTTAGTGATTGGAAACGCTTACTATGGCACATATTTGTCAAATTTCAAAACTCTGGGTTTAAAGAAAAGATCTGAAAAAAAGGCCCAGAGGAAAAAAAATTCAGCTCATTTACAAATAATCAAAAATAAGTATACCATCAGATACACTAGGAATACTGGAAGCTAGAGAACAATTGAGTCATGCCTTCAAACCTTTAGGGAAAATGATTTTCAGCCTGGAATTCCATCATTGGAACCATGGTTGATGTTTAAGGGTAGAATAAATATATGTTTAGGCATGCCCGCTTAGCAAGCTGCAGGAGGATGTTCTGCTCCAGAGCAAGGGTATTGCATCTGGAAACAAGGGATCCAACCCTGGTGAGAATGAAAAAGAGGCAAGAGTTGAAATATATGTCTAGAATGCTGGGAGAAGAAATCCCTGGGATGAAAACTGTGCAGCAGGCCTAGAAATTTAATATTTCAGATTGGGCAGAAAAATATAATGCTTTCAATGTGAGAAAAAAAAGGAACTCATGTATTTGATCACAGTGAGGAGAGGTCTTCAACTCTGTTAGAGAATATGGGAGTAGCAGTGGATAAGAACACGGAAAACAACTATTAATTTCAATGGCAAAAACCACAATTACTTTTGCACCAACCTAATACAAAAAATGCAACTATTAATGCTAGAAGGTAGGCAAGAAAGGAAATGTGATTATAATATATTAAGTGACTCATCTGAACATAGTATTTTCATAATTATAATTATGTAGCAATAAATATTGATTTAACAAAATAGCTGGTATAATTTGTATTAAGCAAATGGGAAGAAGGAAAGTGCATTGGAGGCTGTCATAAAATGAGAGGTAAATATTAGATCTCACTACATGAAGAGTTAATCTAGTAAATTTTCTTAAAAATCAAGAAATAGCAGTGTAAGCATATCAACTTCATGGAAATAGTTTTAAAATTAGCTGAAAGAAATGAAAGAGGTTGCCTCTTGAGAGCAGGAAAGAGGTTGAATAGAAGTAGGAAAAAGGAGTAACAAGCACGTTTTAGTACTTTTACCCAAAACGTTTAAACCGATTGTTGGTTTATGAACTATTAACACAGTCTTTTACTTTACACTATATGAATAAGAGGACAACAACATATAGAAAAATATGTTACACCATCCGAGCAACAGTACACTTTGCACAATGGTGATTCATTGATGTGAGTGATTCAGACAAATAATAATTTTGAAGGTGTTTGGGTGGCTTTTATGTGATTTAGAATCAGAAAGTCCTTTTTTGGGTACATCAACTTTTCCTTATTCAAAGACTGAGAAAATAATATGCTATTTACCTGGATCACAAATTATGATTAGCCAAAGTGTGTTCATTAACTCAGTCATTCTTTTACAGAGTAGCCACTATGTGTATCAGGCACCCACATTGATCCTAAGAACAATGGAAACCTTTTAAGGATTTTAAGCAAAGTAGTGATAGAATCAGACTTATATTTCAGAATATCCTAGGATGTTGTATGGACTGGATGGGGGCAGGACTAGATAGCAAGGACTTATTGGAAAACACCACAAGAGCTGATAGTGTTGTTCCAGTTCTTAGGGAATTGCTTTCAACTTTTCTCCATTCAGTATGTTGTTAGTATGGGTTTGTCATATATGGCCTTTATTATTTTGAGGCATGTTCATTATATTCCCAATTTGTTGAAGGTTTTTATCATGAAGGGATGTCGAATTTGTTAAAGATTTTTTTTTTCATCTATTATGATGATGATACAGTTTTTGTCCTTAATTCTGTTTATGTGATGTATTCATTGACTTGCATATGTTAAGCCATTCTTGCAACTCTGGGAAAAATCCCACCTGTCCATGATGTATTATCTATTTGCTGCATTGTTGGATTTGATTTGCTAATATTTCGTTGGGAGTTTCTGCACCTATGCTCATTAGGGATATTTGGTCTGTACTTTTCTGTTGTTGTGTCCTTGTCTGGCTTTGTTGATACTGTTCAGGGTCATACTGGCTTTATAGAATGAATAAGAAAAGATTCCTTCCTCCTTGATTTTTTGGAATAGTTTTACAAAGACTAGTACCAGTTCTTCTTTGTTAGAATTGGCTGTGAATCCATCTGGTCCTGGGTTTTTTGTTGGTGGGGGGTAGGGGGTAGATTTTTTTAATTACTGATTCAATTTTGCTACTTGTTATTAATATTTTTCGGTTGAGGATTTCTATTTCTTCCCGGTTAATCTTGTGAGGTTGTAGTTTTCCAGGAACATATTCATTTCCTCTAGGTTTTATAGTTTGTGAGTTGTTCATAATAGTCTCTCATGATCTTTTGTATTTCTGTAGTATCAATTGTAATGTCTCCTTTTTTATTTCTCATTTTGTTTATTTGAATTTTTCTTAGTTGTTTATGTCAGGCCTCTGAGCCCAAGCTAAGCCATCATATCCCCTGTGACCTGCATGTACACATCCAGATGGCCGGTTCCTGCCTTAACTGATGACATTTCACCACAAAAGAAGTGAAAATGGCCTGTTCCTGCCTTAACTGATGACATTGTCTTGTGAAATTCCTTCTCCTGGCTCATCCTGGCTCAAAAGCTCCCACACTGAGTACCTTGTGACCCCCACACCTGCCCACCAGAGAACAACCCCCCTTTGACTGTAATTTTCCTTTATCTACCCAAATCCTATAAAACGGCCCCACCCTTATCTCCCTTCGCTGACTCTCTTTTCGGACTCAGCCTGCCTGCACCCAGGTGATTAAAAGCTTTATTGCTCACACTAAGCCTGTTTGGTGGTCTCTTCACATGGACGCACATGAAAGTTTAGCTAGTGGTCTATTAATTTTGCTTATCTTTTTAATAACCAACTTTTCATTTTGTTGACCTTTTGTGATTTGTTTTGGTTTCAATTTCATTTAATGCTGCTCTAATCTTTATTATGTCCCTTATGCTACTTTGGATTTGGTTTGTTCTTGTTTTTTTCTAGTTCCTGTGATGTTATGTTAATTTGTGATCTATTTGTTTATGTAGACATTTAATTTTATAAACTTTTCTCTTAACATTGCTTTTGCTGTATCCCACAGGTTTTGGTATGTTGTGTCTCCACTTCACTCACTTCAAAAAATTTTTTTAATTTTTATTTTAATTTCATTTTTGACCAAAAGGTCATTCAGGAGAATGTTGTTTAATTTCCATGTGTTTGCATAGTTTCAAGAGTTTCTCTTGGTATTGATTTCTAGTTTTATTACACTACGGCCTGAGAAGATATTTGATATAATTTCAATTTTTAAAAATTTATTGAGACTTGTTTTGTGGCCTTACATATGGTCTGTTTTGGAGAATGTTCCATGTGCCACTTTCACCACTCCCATTCACATAGTACTGGAAGTCCTAGCCAGAGCAATCAGACAAAAGAACCAAATATAAGGCATCCAAATTGGAAAAGAGGAAACTACATTATCTCCATTATCTCTGTTCATTGACAATATGATCTTTTCTTTTTTTTCTTTTTCTTTTTTTTTTCTTTTGAGATGGAGTCTCACTCTGTCACCCAGGCTAGCGTGCAATGGTATGATCTCAGCTCACTGCAACCTCTGCTTCTTGGGTTTAAGTGATTCTTTTGCCTCAACCTCCCAAGCAGCTGGGATTACAGGTGCCCGCCACCATGCCTGGCTAATTTTTTTATATTTAGTAGAGACGGGGTTTCACCATGTTGGCCAGGCTGGTCTTGAACTCCTGACCTAGGTGATCCACCTGCCTGGTGTCCCAAAGTGCTGGGATTACAGGCGTGAGTCATCATGCCCAGCCAACAATATGATCTTATAAACAGAAAACCCTAAAGATTTCTCAAAATAAAAACCCTTATATTTTTTATAAACGTATTTAGTAAACAAATTACTAAATAATGTTTGTAAACATAGTAAACAAAATAATTGTTTACTAAATAAACATATTTAGTAAACAAATTTGTACATAAACAAATTTAGTAAAGTTTCAGGATACAAAATCAACACACAAAAATCAGTAACATTTCTATACATCAATAATGGTCAAGGTGAGAACCAAATCAAGAAGAAAATTCCATTTACAATAACTCCAAAAATCCTAGGAATATATTTGACCAAGGAGGTGAAAGGTATCTACAATGAAAACTACAAAACACTGATGAAAAAAATTGTAGGTGACACAAACAAATGGAAAAATCTTCCATGCTCATGGATCTGAAGAATTGTTAAAATGGCCATACTACCCAAAGCAATCTACAGATTAAATGCAATTCCTATCAAAATACCAACATAACTTTTCACAAAATTAGAAAAAATTTATGAACTCTAAAATTCATATAGAACCAAAAAAGAGCCTAAATAACAAAAGCAATCCTAGCAAAAAGAACAAAGCTGAAAGCATCACATTACGTGACCTCAAATTATGCTAAACGGCTACGGTAGCCAAAACAGCATGGTACTGGTCTAAAAATAGACACATAAGATAAATGGAACAGAATAGAAAACCCAGAAATAAAGTTGCATATCTATAGCCAACTGATCTTCAAAGAAGTTGACAAAAATATACCCTAAGGAAAAAGCTGGTGGTAGACAAAATGAAGTTAGTGACAGTGGAGATGCAGAGAGGTATCTTTATTTGAGATGTATTTTGGAGGTGATAGCAATATTATTTGGTGATTCATTGGATTTCAGGGTTTACAGAAGGAAGTACTAAGTATAATTTCTGTTTGAAGGGGGCAGAGTGATAAGCAAACCGTTGCATAGTGTTGATTGATATTAATTGAGATGAGCAACACATATTATTGTCTTAATGTAATTATCTTATTTATGGCTCTTCCTCAGCACAGCTGGGTTTTCAGTCAACTGAAACATAAATGAAGCACTTAGGAACTTCAAAAAACACAAGGCCTCACTTCCCAGCATTTTGGTGTTGATTGATTGATTGACTGATTGAGAAAGGGTCTCACTATGTTAGCCAGGCTAATCTTGAACTCCTGACCTCAAGGAATCCTCCTGCTTCAGCCTCCTGCGTGGCTAGGATTACAGACATGAGCCACCACACTCAGCAGTTTGTTTTGACCCTAATAAGAGGACACAAGAAATTATCTCTCTTTCTGCATCTACTCAAACAAGCCTTAACCAAGTAAGTCCAGTTTGGGGCCAGAATTTTTTGCAGTAAAAACTAAAAGCTGCTCTTTTCATTTTATTGCTTTCCTCAGACTGTAGTAGGTTAGTCTATGTCTGTCTGAATCTAATTGTGTCCCTAGGGGTTGGACTGAGTGTCTGACTCTGGTTCATAACCCCAGGAAACACACCCACTCCTCAGGTGACACCAACCAGAGCAAATCCAGGGCTTACCCCTCTGCGTGGTATGGAAAATCCCAGAAATAGTATGTTCTGTGGCCAGAAAAATGTGGAATGCATGATCTGTACTCATGGTGGGATGGACAGGATTGGAATATTCGGTCCATTGGAGCCAGAGGAACCACAGGACTACACAAGAGCAAGGATGCATATGTACCTGCTTTTCCACTTATGGGATTGTTTTCAGTGGCCAGAAAATAAATGGATATTTTAAACATATTCACTTTCACTAATTCTTGCGAAGCAAACACTTCAAGGTGAAACTCAAGCTTGAATCCAGTCTCGGCTGTGAAGAGAAAGATAACCAAAACTGTTGTGAAGGGACAAGAGGGCTAGACAGAAGTGATGTGGAGTGAGGGGCGAGCACTCTCTTTTGATCCAAACCAGGCATTTGAGATTCTGTCCAGGAAACAATTGGAGAAAACATCAGCCAAGCAACTAAATATGTTTTTCTTGGACTTAAAAAAAAATCAAGCATGTTTTGAAACTCTTAGGGGAGGCATTTCTTACCTCTTTTATTAGTAAAGAGTAAAAGGAGCATCAGCTTCATGAGGAAGAAATTAATGCATCAGAGCCCAGACAGAAACCCAGATGCAGACTCAGGATAACCTCATTCTTTGCATGACAAGCATTAAAAGGTCATTTACCCACTAGGTCCTTTTTACCTTCTCCACTGCACTTACCTGAACTAAAATAAAGAAATTATTAGTATTTCTCATCTCAATCTCATGTAAATGTTTTTGTCTTAGCACGTGTGCTTCTGTGTGTGTGTGTGTGTGTGTGTGTATGTGCACGCACGCACATTTATGTACATGTCCCAATAGGTTTGTATGGCAAAGAGCTTTCCAGGGACATCCAAAGTGATCGTGAGAGAATGAAATAAAAATTACTTTTTTCTCATCTGGAAAGATTTCTGAGGTCAAATAAATGAGAGTATTTTAATAGAGAGAAATGAAGGAACATTCCAGTCATGGCAAAAAATCTCATGGGGGGGGTCCTTCACTAGGGTCATGCTTAAATTCAGCATAGTTTAACAAGATAAGAAGATAGAACATAAATATCACTAAAACTTCTTAAACATTTTCTTATCATTTCCCATGTTCTTCAAATATGAGCATGTACAAGCTCCTATTACATTTTGTTCTTTGGAAACCATGAATAACTTAATAAGCACCAAGTATTATCTATCTGGATTAAATTTTTTAAATACGCACATTTCTTTCTATCTAGATAATGCCCATGGAAACGTTCTCAGTGTCTTGTTAAAGTAATTTAAATTCTAGTACAGTCTTCAAGCTAGACATTGAAAAATAGGCATACTTCAGCTACACAAATATTTTCTTAGCATTCTTCATGCATCATCTATGTAAGTATTTTCTCAGCAGTCCTCAGGTGTATCTCACAGAAAACTCATATTTATTTCAATTCCTAAGAAATGACAAAAACTTCCTTTCAGACTTTCAAAAATATGGCATTTGGTTTTGCAAATCATGCTCCCACCCATGAAATGGAGCATGGCTGAACATTATTTGTCTATGAAATAGGCCTCAAAAATAAGAAAATGCTTTTTAATATAATTTTCTTTGTTAAAGTTTCTCAATCCTTTGGATCACATGCCAATGTTAACTACAGACTTAGAATTCTCCCTGGGATAAGGGAGCCTGTGTGACCTCATTTCCACAGTGCCCCAGGACCTGTGTTGAGGAACATTGGGTTTGTAGGTCTTCTAAGGATACTCAGGTATCAATATTTGGAAAGCAGCAATTCCTCAGAGTCATCTCTTCTGCCAACACATGTAAGCTAATGATATCTTTCCTTGGCCACTTTCTTTGTAATCATGACCTCTTCCAGAATTGGGGCTGATATTAGGCAAATTATACAGTATTGAAAAATTGTCTTTCATTCTCTCTCCACTCTTTTTTCATTCTCCATATTTCTATCTTGGGCTTACTCCAGGAAATACCAGTACCTAAGCTTGGTTTTGGCTGCTCAGAGTCTTGCCTCAGATTCTGCCTGCCTCCCTGAATCATGTAATCAGTATTCTTCAGGAGCTAGCCCAGATTAGGACCCACAAAAATCAATCCGACCAATTAATATAAGTCAAGTATTAATGATTCACAACAGAATTATGGGTAACATTAACACTAGGGTGTTTCCTAGAACCACCAAATTAGTCCATTCTGTTGGCTGCCATTCTGCTCATCATAACCAAATCCCAATAGAACATGAATATAAGAGAATAGCACACATGCCACCATTTCTCCTGTCCTGTGTCCATGGCAGACACTTATAACTAATGGACTCTCCTTTCCTAAGGAGTAGAGAAATCCTCAAAATCCTTTGCAGCACCCTTCTCGAGTTAGCCAATAGCAATTTGTATTGCTTACCTATTGCTGTGTTACAAATTAGTCTAAAATTTAGTGACCTAAAACAAGTAGTTACTATCTTATAATTTCAATGGGTCAGGAATATAAGCATGGCTTAGCTGGCTGCCTCTCCCTCAAGATCAAAGGTCAGCTGGGTTAGAATCTGCTTCTAAGCTCATTCATGTGGCTGTTAGCAGACCTAAAATCTTCATTGGCAGTTGGCCAGAGACATGAGGTCCTTATCACTTGGACCTTGCCATAGAAGAGCTCACAACATGGTTCTTGACTTTCCTTAGAAATAGTAAATAAGACGGAGGGGAGAGTAAGAGGGAGAGAGAGGAGTTCACGGCCTTATTATAGCGTAACCTCAAAGTGACATTCCATCACTTCTGCCATATTTTATTTGTTAGAAGTGAGTTACCGGGTCTAGGCCTCATTCAAAGGGAGGGGATTATGTAAGGATGTGAAACCAGAAGGTGGGAATTGTTGGGAGCCATCTCAGGGATAGCTTCCCACATTATTCATCAACCTATTAGATTAGGCATGCATTGTGAAACTCACTTTTTCCACCTTACAAACTATTTGGCGATTAAATAATTTCAACTGAAAGCATGAAAAACTTAAGTTTAGTAAACGATGAAAAATCTAAAATAATTGTTTTTCTTGAAACTGTTATTTTACATGGATTCATTTCTTTATAATTCATTCTTGCATTAGTAATGGACTACCTCACTCAGGAAAATAGCAATTTCCTTAGAGTTCCAGAACAGCAATACCAGGTCTATAATTAGATTTCCTCTTATAAATAATCTTTATACTTTTTGATTTAAAAATGTAGTAAGTAGCCATTTTGAAAGTTGGTAAAGCCTTGAAAAGTATAAGAAAAATAAACTTTAACTATAATTCTACTGTTCATAAATAACTACATTTAACAGTTTGGCCTATTATTCAAAATTAGCACATAAGTGTGTTCATATTCTACATTTCTTATTTCACTTTTGGTTGTGAAAGTTTTAGCATTGACCTGTGGAAAAACAAAACTTGAAATGTTGCGTTGTGAAGTGCATGTCAAGATGGGGTATTCACTTACAGGCAGATAAATATATACTTGAAGGGAATAGTTGGAAAAAACATTTGGATCATAACATAGTGTGGATCTGCAGTGACTTTGTTCCTTGTAAAATCTCTGCAACAACCACAATAATAGTTTAACAATAAATGAATCTCCAAGAGAAGAAAGCATAGTATATTTTCTCTGCTTAACTGGATCGTTATGATAATAGTTAGAAGCCTTTTTTAAGGAAGAAGATACAATTTTTCTTTTGAACTCAACCTCCGGTTACCTCTTTAGTATCTCAGCTAATTACCAGTCAACTGTACATATAAACTGTGTGGACGTGTGAAACTGTACCTAATTACCTAGCTAAGCTACCTACCTACCTGCCAAATCCACCTACTCCTCTAGACCCCCCGACACCCAGAAAAAGAGATGAGATAATGTACTTGTAAATAACCAGCTCTAGTCTCTGTGTCTCCTTGAAATTTCACTGTCTTGCCCCTGGGTCCAATCAGAGAAACGCTGCCACAAAATAGCAACTCTCTAATGGATTTTGAAAAGCAAAGCACAATTTAACTGATACAAGGTACAACTAAGTTCACTGTGGTATCAGGTAGCATAAGACATACCTGAATAGCTAAGCAGGGAAAAAGAGCAGAGGTGGGAAGTCCAAATTAATTACTAAACACCAGAAGTTTGGGTACCTGCTGTAAAAAACCTAGAAACACTATCCACTGACCTCAGTGACAAGGCATTGGCTGATTTTCTGGGGTATAATTGAGCCTCAAATAATGGTTGTACTACACAACTAATGAACCCTGCTGAAGGTGGGTATCAAACGTTTCCTAGACAGAAGGCAATTGTCAATTCCACTTTCTGCATGCTATACTGATTGACACTCTATAGAGTGTTTCACTATCTAGCAGCTCCCCTTAGGGCTGCTAAGATGGAGTCCATTCAAAGAGCAGATTCACACGTGTTATTGTATCTGTAAGGTGGGGACCTGCAAAATTGGCCCCAGCCATTCTCCTAGTCACACAAGACCTCTGATGGTCCACATACAACTAAACAGGATCTTTGCACCAAAAACAACTTCAAAGAATGTATACCAAAAATTAGGCAAATGACATATAATTCAGAAAACATTGTAAACATAAAACGCATATAATTTTAGAAATATTGTCATGGGCCGGGCGCGGTGGCTCACGCCTGTAATCCCAGCACTTTTGGAGGCCGAGGCGGGCGGATCACGAGGTCAGGAGATCCAGACCATCCTGGCTAACACGGTGAAACCCCGTCTCTACTAAAAATACAAAAAATCAGCCTGGCGAGGTGGCGGGCGCCTGTAGTCCCAGCTACTCGGGAGACTGAGGCAGGAGAATGGCGTGAACCCCAGGGGGCGGAGCCTGCAGTGAGCCGAGATCGCGCCACTGCACTCCAGCCTGGGCGATAGTGAGACTCCGTCTCAAAAAAAAAAAAAAAAAAAAAAAAACCAGAAATATTGTCATGTATATCTTTTAATTTTACTTATTATTTTATGTTGATAACCAAAAATTCATTAAGCTTTCGGTGTTATTTAGTTTGGATAAATAATAAGGCATCTTTTGAATGTTATTCCTTATAACAAATGTAACTCACAGAACACACAGCCACATTTATCAAACCTAAATAAGCACTGGCTTTATTTGTGCCTTTTAAACAAAGTACTCTTTTACTACATCTATACTAAGACCCAGGTCACCAAAGTAGACCTAAATTGTTTAAATGTTGGTGGATCACTGTGGAAGCACAAATTCTGCATTAGAATAGCAATACGGAAAAGCTGCTATGAGAATCAGGCCAGTGCCTATACAGATTGTTCTCTCTCTCTTCCTCTTTCTCTCTCTCTCCCTCTTAGGAATGGCTCATAATGAATGAGCTTTTTATGGAGGAAGAAAGTGGTGATTCTGATGAAGCTAATAAGGTATAATGTCCACATGATTTGTAGGTCATAAACAGTAAGCTCAAATTATACTTAATTCAGAATTATTCAATCAATTAAGCCATGAGGGCTATGAATGACCCGATGGAAATAGAAGATAATTATTCTGTGACACCTAGATTAAAAAACACACTCACCTGAAATACTGAGGTATTAAGTCACACATTTTAGTCTTTTTCAAGAACACATATACTGTCTCAATTCCCCAGCTCAATTTACACATGTGGAACACAATTCTAAATAACATTTGCACAGAATGTGACTTATACCATGGTTGACCTGGGATTCATAACCAGACTCACCTATTGGCTGAAGGGAATATTCTGAGCTTTGTCAAGATTAATAAAAGGGCTTTAGTGATGGTCAATTTATTTATTTTCCCAAATTAGATAAACTCACTTTTTATACCAACAACTATTTCACTTATTTACAGTCTCCGAATAATGATGAATTTTTACATTCTAAAATGTTAGTAGGTTAACTAAATAGTCCTGATAGATAGAAGTGGGAGGAAGTAAAGAAAGAGAGGGTAATTAAATGTTGTAAATATCTCCTCTGTGCCAAATACTGGGGAAGAAGCTCTTATACATGTTAATCATTACAATACCACCACAAGGTAGGAACTATAATTTCAGCTTTACAGATGAAGGAACTGAGGCTTGGGAAGCTACATAATTTGTCCCAAAATATGCAACTTGTAAATGTTAGAGCTGGAATTCTAATTGTATCTGTTTGATTCTAAATCCCTTGTTCATACCACTATATCCTCCTGCCTCTCACTTCCTCTATGTCACATACTCTCCTTGTTGGTTAAGTTCAGCTCGTTAGTATAGGGTCAGTGGAAACAGATTTGTCTCTATTCCTACAAAACAGTGAGATATGGGTAAAAAGCCTGGTACAAATAACTCTAAGTCATAACAGACTAACAAAAAATATATATATGAAATTATCACAATGACAAATTTTCCTTTCAGACTACTTGACAAACAATATATCCTAGAAAAAAAGAGACCACAACACTTGGAAACTAATTATCCAAATGTTGAACAGCTGACTATAAATCAAAGAAATTGCACATAACAAAAAGTAAAACATCTGTAAGAGGTTTTTAGTGCTTTCCAAAAGATTCCAAGTGTTGCTCAGATGTACAGTGACCCACTTCCTCTCGTGAAAAAGCATATCACCTAACCAAGGACATAGCAAAGAAAGAAAGAAAAATATCAGATTCAAATCTATCCAAAGTTGTGGCTTTCAATTCTAGGTAATCAGTAGGCTGAATAGTCTTGATGATAGTTCAGGCCAGGAGCTGGAAAACTTCCTATAAAGGGCCAAATAGCAAATATGTTAGGCTTTGTGAGCTGCATGTTCTATGTGGAAACTACTAAGCTCTGGCCCTGTAGCATGAAAGCAGACATAGACAATGCATAAACAAAGAGGGTGGCTGTGTTCCAATAAAACTTTATTTACAAAATATAGGGGGGTGAGCCATATTTGGCCACAGGTTATAGTTTGCTGACCTCTGGCTTAGGCTATACTTCTTGCCTAGAGTAGGCATAGAGGAGATTCGGTTGAGTTAATGTCATTTACAAGACAATAGGCTATTGATGAGAAGGGAAGGAGCCAACATGGGGCTGGAAGGAAGATTACGGCATTGTAGTGATGCTAAAGTTAACAGGAAGGTCAGTCTCTTCAGAGAATCTGAAGGGAACTATATAAATCTTACATGGACTGAAGAAAGAAGAAGATGACTCCTTTAATTTAAGGAATTCATTTTCCCCATTAGCAAAATGAAAGGCTGAAGTTGACCAATGGGTTCAAGAAAACTTTCTTCAGATTAAGTATTGTGGAGTCCCAGTATATAAAAGACATTAATCCACTATCAGTCTGATTAAAGCTGTAATGGGGAAGCTTTATCTTACAAGATTGATCCTGAGTCAATTAAAACTCCCAAATCTCTCCCCAGGAAATCTGGACTTCACAGAGTGTAGGTCAACAAATATAAAGGCTCTTTCTAATTGTGACATTCTGACGTTCTATGATTATGTGATCTTTGTTCCTGCTTTTAAGTTATATCTACATATACCTTAAATATATACATAAAATATTCCTATTTTAAGATGTCATTATCTTTTGAGGGCATCTTCAGAGCAAATATATGTTAATCACTAGATTTCCCAAGAAGTAACTCAGCTGGTTAAATTTAACATAGTGTTACTCTCTCTGTGTACAAAAAAATGCCCATATTTGCTCAATTATTCAAGCAAATTTTCTAGAAATTTAAAATAACACAATCCAATAGGCCTGGTCTAGGTGTCCACGTGAACTGATTAAATTTCAGATTTCACCCGTTTAGACCTTGTCTTTGTCTGTTTGGCTGCCATAATAAAATACCATAAATGGGGTGGCTTAAATAAAAAAAATTTATTTTCTTAACAGTTCTGGAGGCCGGGAGTCCAAGGTCAAGATCCCAGTATAATCAGTGTCTGGTGAGGGCTCTTTTCCTGGCTTGTTGATAGCCACCTTTTCACTGTTTCCTCACATGGCAGTGGGTATGGGAGAGAGAGAGAGAGAAAACTCTCTGATATCTCTTCTTGTAAGGGCACTAATTTTGTCATGAGGGTGAAGCTTTCATGACCTTATCCAAACCTAATAATCTCCCAAAGGCCCCATCTTCAAATACCATAATATTAGGGGTTAGGGCTTCAACATGTGAATTTGTAACCTGTAAGATCAGTTCATAGCAGATCTTACAGGTTACAAAGAGAAGGTCTGAGGGGAAAAAAGAGATAACTTTCAACAATTGGTGTTGAGGAAAGAGATATTAGTTTTTCTCCCAAGGTGTTTATAGAAACCAGAAAATAGAATATTATCTTTTGCTTATCTCTATCTAGCTTACCATATGTTAAAACAATTTTGCTATCTTTATTATTTTTAACTCATTGAATTACTTCCTTCTAGTCAGATATTCAGGATAAGTTGTTTTTGGGTAACATTACTTGAAAGGCCAAAATAAAAATTAGATGTTGGAAATGTCACTGCTATACTTGGAATGGACACATTAATAGGAAACATTATCTTCAATTTCAAAAAAAAATTATAAATATTATTTTAATTGACAAATCATAATTGTATATACTCATGAGATATAATGTGATGTTCTGATATATGTATACAGTGTAGAATGATTAAGATGGATATATTAATTAGCTTCATTTAATC
Organism: Homo sapiens; assembly: GCF_000001405.40. Classification (NCBI taxonomy): domain Eukaryota; kingdom Metazoa; phylum Chordata; class Mammalia; order Primates; family Hominidae; genus Homo; species Homo sapiens. The sequence continues at coordinate 90,396,135 of NC_000010.11, forward strand.
TTTAATTTCTTTTTGATTGACTAAATATAGGAAGACCTAATGAGGTATTTTTTCCTCCAAAATTACAGATTTGAATCGTGGCTCTCATGGTCTGCTTCAAGCAACAAGTATCTTGATTGTGTAGGTGTTTTGCAGAAGTTTCCCTTATATACTACTGGAAATTGAGTTATTTCTCTGAGACTGGAAAAGAGACTGACTCTAGGTTTTATAGAAGGGAAATACTGCCTAGGTAGTAACTGACTTTGGGTTTCCATCAGAGGTGGAAATTATCCTGCTAATAAGTTTTTATCTTTGGTGAATGCCTTGCTCCAGTTTCTAGCACAACACTGGGTACCAAAAAAAAGCAATCGGTATAGGCTTACCAGTGTTTTATTGTCAGGATAAAGTCTCTGATCTGAGACTCAGGACCACGTGGGAAGATAACACACAGAAACATTGGATGGGTTGTTATAGCAATTGTTTTGTGACTAGAATAAGTTTGCTCCTCCAAGGATAGTTCTGGTTGTTTTTCAAAAAGAAAGAGGCAGTGGGGGGTGGGGAGGGAGGAGAGAAGAGAGAGAGAGAGAGAGGCCATTTTGACCACATTTTGTCACAGATAGCTATGGCACTTTCTACAGCAGTTCCTTTTATATTTCATTCCCATAACACTAATAATAAAGTTTTCTTATTCCTCTTTTAAAACCTCACAATGCATAATGCATAGTCACTGCAATTATTTCAAGAGATAGCATGTACTTGCATTTACCCCATTTTATCACCCACCTGAGGACACTATATTTCCTATTAGTGGTAGTGAACTTGATGCTATTATGTGTAATTTCTTCCAGATGAGCTGTAGCACTTAACTTTCTGCTTCAAAGTATTGAGTTGTGCTTAAAGCAAGCCTGGCTTCTATACAGAGATTTCCCAGAGCAGAGAATTCAAGTCTAATTAAAACACATCACTTCCCCATCAATATTTTCTCTGTACCCAAATAGTGTCTTAAGAGGTAGACAGGTATCAGATCAAGTCTGGAAATAATTTTTAGATTTTGAGTAGGCATTAATAATGACATCAACTTATAGAAATATAACAATAGTATGAGTGAACTAAAAATAATTCATAGAATAATGATTTTTTAAGTTGCAATTTAGGACTTTTTGACTCTCTGCTTCATTGCACTTTCATAATCCCCTTTAAGTTCTTCCTCTTATGTTGAAAACAGATATGTGAATTTAAAAGATATTTTTTGGAATTTAGTGCCAACCACAGGCCTACCATGTGCCCATATATTAGACAAGTTATGTAGTTTATTTCTAGTCCTCACAACTCCAAGAAAAAAAGTATTACAGATATGCATTCCCTTATTCAAAACCTTTGGAGGCAGATGTATTCCAGAATTCAGAATTGTTTGAATTTTTAAAGATAATAAGGTGCATATACAGCATGTTCTGTAACCAAATAGGGTCTGGTGTAGCATTTCGGAGGCAAATAAAAAAATATTTGCACTGAAATATAAAAGTTCTCAAAGTGAGATTTAAAAAAAAAAACAGCAGCAAAAATGGCCTCATATCAGATTTTGTCACCAAAAACACTTGCTACACATTTGCAAAAAATAAAAAAAGATTTTGCAGGTTTTTCTGATTTTGTATTTGTGAATTAAAAATTGTAGATGAGAGAGATTAAATAACTTGCTCAAAGTTATGCAGCCATCTTAAACACAAGAAATATACATGGAAATGTTTGAACAGCCAGAATACAGTTGGGTTGGACTCAAACTTGGGACCATTTGTCTCAAAAGTCTATGTTCTAATAGATGAAAAGAATGAGGCATGCCAAATGACCTTGGGGAAGGAAACACAGAAAAAAATAGGGATCAGACAAGAGAAGGAATGGTAGGTAACTATAACATGAGCTCCCCAAAGTAGGCAGAGAGATAATGAAAGCAGCCATAAGAGGACTATGAGCTGAATGGGAAGAAGAGAATATGGTGCTGAAGCTCAATGTACTCACATGGAAAAGATGAGAACAAGTGGATTCTGAACAGACTGCAGTATGGCATAAACCTGCCCATTGTACCAAAATGATTTCCAATTGCCATAGCTCCTGGCTATTTATTAAAATATATTTAAACAATGCCTACCATGTACCAAGCACTGGGGATAAAGCCACGAAAAAGACTGGCTTGTCTCTGCACTTCTGGCCCCAATAATTATTAGCTGTGTGACCTTAGCAAAGTTATTCAACCACTCTATGCAGCAATCAGTTCATTTGTAAAATAAAGGTAATAATATCTACGTCACAAATATTAAATGGTGAGAATTAAATTGTATAGTGCATGTAAAGAGCTTAACACAGTGCCTAGCACAAAAGATACATAGTATACCTTTTAGTATACTATAATAGTATAGGTATACCTTTGGTAAAGTATAATAGTCAATATTATTATAGGTATTTTATTCTTCAAGACAATTGACTTCTCCAACCAAAGGAAAACAATACACATTCTGAGAATATGTGCAGATAACAAATCAGAGTACAAAGTACCAAATTCTGGACAAATGTAATTGCTGTTCAATCAGCAACCCTGGTGAGTTTGCTCTATTTTTGGCTTCAGCACTAACTTGTTGTGCTACCCTGAATGAGTCATTAATAACATCTGCTTCCCCTTCTGTGAATTGTCTTCTGCTCTTTAACTCAAGGGTATTAAAGGAGGCTTTGGGGATAAATGAAGGAGAAATTATTGCTCCAGCTAATATGCTGCTCCAAAGAGAACTCTTTTGAACTTGTTGATTAGAAGATAGGAGAAGTACACACAGAAAGAAAAAAAGCTTTTCTTGCATGCTTATACCTGAATGAATTCCATCTGTATGGATGACCAGTGTAAGCAGAAGGATTCTGAACAATATTGCTTTTCTCAATTCTGCCATAAATACTCATTGAAAAATGCTGTGGTCATTTGAATACAACTGTTATTCTCTCTCAAGCCCAAAATTTAAACTTGCTAAGAGAACTGATCTATTGCAGTTGCTTTTATAATATAGATTTATAATCCAAATGACAGTCATTTGTTTCTGGCAACAGTCAGCTGCTCAGGGGTTATCAATAATATGTTTTATTGACAATCACATTCTCAGAAAACCACCAATTGTGCTTTGCCTACCTATATGATGTAGTCATGCACAGGAAAAGAGTCAAGACCTAGGATATATGCAATGCCTTGGGTGAACAATTGGGAAAGTAGCTGAAAGGAGATAATTAATTGAAGGTACAGTGTTTACTTATATATTTGCTGTAAATTATTAGATGTAGAGAATCGATGTTTAAACCTCAAGTAGAAAGCAGCCATCTTAAACACAAGAAATATACATGGAAATGTTTGAATCATATAACTGTGGCACCCTATGATCTATGGGATATAATTCCTAAGGTTTTAGGGCAATAACCAAGGAGCACAAAACATTCTCATTTGTTTAGAATGGAAATGGAAAACTAAAGTCATGCAACAATAGCTTAGTGAATAGATCTAACATCTCCCCTCCAAGTATAGATACTCTAGGTCAGAATTTTCTCATCTTCCAATCATTCTCCAGTTTTATTTAACCACTTGCAGTTTAAAGAAAACCCTGCTGAGAATTCTCTTTCAGTCTTTGTCATTTTGTTCACTTTGCATAGAACACTTTCTTCATTCTTCCTTCTCTTGATGTCCTGGTTAACTCATACTTTCTGTCTCAGATTATTTGTCACTCTGTCTGGGAAAGCTTCCATGTCCTCCTAAGTGCCTCTCTCTTGTGCTCACATAGCACTTCTTCCTCTGCATGGTAAAATTGTCTCTACTTGTCTGTATCTTCCACTTGACAAAAAGAAAATTGAAGAGAGAAGCTTAGTCATAGTTACAGTTGAGTTCTGAGAGTCTATCTCAGTTCTAGTCACGTAACAGACACTTACTACTTATCTGCAGGATAGTGACTGAATAAATAAATGAGGCTACTTGGATAAAATAAATCAAAGGGCTGTTAATTTTCTAGTTTATTGTATCAATGTATATCAACACCACAATAAAAACTTAGAATGGGCAATATTAAGAATGAATGCTTAAGGAGTTTACAGCCATCCAGAGAGCTGGAAGCTCTAGACCATTGTGAGATTCTAACTCTAGTTCAGAGTTTAAGTATGGCTATAACCTCAGTGATAGAAAAACATGTCTTGGCAGCTTATGGGTGGTTTTGTTGATGAGAATGAATAGAATGAGAAATGGAAATCTCATTAAGCTTGAAAGTATTTTTAGCTGGAGAACATTGACATTAGACTGTCAGAAAACCAAATGGAAGTAAATTATGATGAACAGTAAATATGTTAGCGAAAATGGTCAAGTGGGATCATGACTCAAAGAAGTGCCTACAATTTTTACCCAATCACAGCCTGGTTGCCCAGCAACCACTCTATGGGAGTTGCATGCATGATGACATATTAGATCCTAATCTCAGAAGTAGATTGACAAGCCAAATCATTAAGTCTTGCAGTCCGGCCTGGGTTAGTTCTATCACCTTATTAAATTCTGAATAAAACTCAACCTCTGCCTACACAAAAGGTAAGGTCTGTCAAAAGAGTACACAATTGCCATGGGTACCCTGAAAATCCTTGGATATCTTTAGAATAGAATAATTTAATATGTATACAAATTGGATTGCCTGTGTGCCATCCCAGACCCTTTCCGTTGTACCAGATGGTGTGTCAGTAATAGAAGGTAAAACCTAGGCTTGTTTCAGGAGAAAGAGAAAGAAGATGTATGTTTTCCATGCAATTTGAGTTTCATCTTCCTTCTGACTTCTCACTTTTACTACCTAATCCAAAATACAAAGAAAACAGCAAACTGTAAAGCCAATATTTCTATTAATATTTTCTATTAAGCAATAGGAGAAAAGAACACCTTAACAGAAAATAGACAAAAGGACATCAACAAATCTAGATACAAAATGAGAAAACAAATGAATAAGTGAATGCATAAAATCAAGTTAACACTTGTTAAAGATTAACATATGCCAGACATTCTTATATGTACTTGGGTTAATACACTGTTTACTCATATGACTTAGTTTTATGAGATAGATACTATTAATATCATCTTCAATTTTCAGGTAAAAAAAAAAAACTAAAGCACAGAACATTTAAGTAATTTTCTACAAGTTAAATATCTAGTAAGGGCCAAAATCTGGATTCTAACCAAACTGCATGACTCCAAAGACCTCATTCTCAACTAAGCAATACTGTCTTTCAAGAAGAAACGAAGGAGCCAATAAGCATATCAAAAGTGCTTCTATCACTAGTAATCAAAGAATTACAAATCAAACCAAACAAATGGCAACCTATTATTCACCAATTCACCTATTATTTCAAACAATAATAAAATTCAGTGTAGCATTTAATGTAGGAAATTGCTATTTTACTCCCAATTTTTTGTTTAATGGTTATCACCAAGGAATGACAAAAAAATCGGAAGTGTAATGGTTATTCTCCATATTAATCAGCTGTATGTACACTTTGAGTGAATAATAGAGTTTTTGTATTTTTTTTCTTGGATCCTATGTACTATGCATTAGGTGGCTTTGGAAAACATACTCTTTGACCTACTCTAAGAAGTATTTCTAAAGAAATAATGAGAATCTCAGGCAATCATAAACATTAAAAAATATTCACTAAAACATCATTTAGCACTGTAAAAAATTGAAAGTAATCCCAAAATTGGGAGATGGTTATGTAACTATTAAAGAATATCTAAAGAATTAATAATGAAATAAAAAAACACTGTAACAAGAAGAAATTAGCATAATGTGAAGCTGTGTGTATTGAATGACCCCAATATAATATATCCCCACATATACAAATATTTTCTACAGATAGAGATAAAGAGAGGAGGAAAGGGAGAAAAAGAAGTTTCCTATGAAATATATTAACCATGATTACTTTGTTTTGGATGATAAAATTATTTGTTTTTATTCTTAAATTTTATATATAAAATTTTGTATATATTATTTATAATGCAAAATAATTTAAAAAATTAAAATTTGTGCTACCCTGTAATTATTCTCTTTGAACCTGACTTAGATGATCAGCCAGAAAGCTAATCTAGAGATGAATTATCCTCAATTGTTAATGCTATCCAGTGGCTCAATATGTTTACTACTCTCATTTAATACTTTAGTTAAAATAAATATCTTCAACTTCTTAAAGCAGAGGAGAGAATGTTTTAAAAATCCTTAAAATTAAAATAAATCCTTAAAGCAACATAGTGCTTTATGGTTTACAAAATCCTTTCCCAGGAAATACAAAACTCATTTGACCCCAAAACAACTTTTGAGGAGGCAAGTTATAATATTAAAAGTTAAGAAAATGAGCAGACTTCACTGTTAGATGTCTGAGGCCACATTCATCTTCTTTATATCCAGCACTGAACTAAGCAAATGAGAAGTTTGCCTAGCCAGGAACACACTTTTCATTAAGCTATCAGAATAATCATGTGGTCATTCTGTGAGGGATACAACAGAGAGGGAGAATTTCCACCTTTCTGATGTAGAAAAGCAGCATAGAGCACATAAGCTTTCACACAGACTACTCTTGGGATTATATGCATAGCCACCTGATCACTCCATGACCTTTGCAAGTTACTTAAGTCTTCTAAGCCTTAGTCTTCTCGTCTGTAAAACAAGAATAATAACGCTCACATCTATATTGCTATAATAAAGATTAAATAAGATGAGATATGTAATATGCACTTGGTGCCACATGAAATCATGCATAGCAGTTATTGCTCAGTCTGCCTCCTACTTCCATCCCACTCACCACCTCATTGATGCCTGGGCACAGCCTTAATTTAAGCCTGCCCTTTTTCCTTCTGTATTCAAGAGGGCACTGAGTTAAGCACCATTCTGCGAAGAAGTAAAATAAAGAACAATTGGTATAAATCTTTAAAATGCCCATTTTCTCTAGATATCTTATAACTCTAGACATTTGCTGAAAAGTGTTCAAATTAATATAACCCATTAAATCTCTTTTGATGGTAAAAATAAGAAGCTATTTAAATAATGTATCATTCAGTCGTATGCTCAGCTTAGAGACTGTTAACTGAATAAAATGTAATTTTGACTGTATGCGACCAAGGCCTTTTTAAAGCTTTCATTTTTATTATTTTCTTTTTAAACATAGAACATCTGGCTTGAAGATATGCAACAGGAAAATGCACATATATTTTATCTTGTCATTCAGAGGGCTTTATCCTAAGTCTGAAAGCTTTTGGCTAGAGTGCAAAAACACTAGAGACCCATGTTGAATAGCAAGAGAAACTGAAAGGATTTCAACTCATCTTTGGTTCCAGTAGCTGGCAGGAGGTACCTTTCTGAATTGATTTTTCAAATGCATATAAGTCATTAAGCTTGCAGATTTTTAACCTTTCCAGTAGAGTATTAATAAACCTTCTGAAAAAATGAGACTTTTGAAAAATCTTAAGTCATTTAGATTCTCACCCTAAAAGAGGAGAGTCTAGAGACATTGACAGCAATCTTAATGGAATAAGGGTTCCCAAATAAACTTTGGATATAAGGCCAATTCTTAACTACTTGTATGAATAAAGAGGAGAGACCCAGGAAAGGCCTCATTTGAGCAACTCCCTACCGCAAAACTCTTGCCAGCAAGTTCCAAAATTGGGCTCTTTTGGTTACCTCATCCCTTCCCACATCCCCACATCTGCTTGCCTTGTATGTAGTAGGAATGTTTAAATGAGATATTTATGTCAAATAACTACAAGGAGAGGCCAAGGGGTGATTAATAGCTCAAAAGAACCAATCATTTAATGGCCAAATGCCACTAAATCAGAGTACCTGTGGTCAGCATGGCTGGTTAAAGCCCTCTGGTGCCTTGTCCTGGTTCATTCAAACTGAAATGATTCTAAATCATAAGATTAAATGTGATAAAGTTCAGCAATATTCTCATTTTATCCTTCATGATCATGTTTTTCTTTTCATTTGAGAGATCTAATATTAAATGATAAACATCTACTTTTTCTCATTTATTTTGTGGTTGTCCTTGCTGGTGCCCTGAGCATAAGTTTGGTCTACATGTTGGATTATCAAGTACTGAAAAAAATAATTATTTTTCAAAGACTTCAATTGTACTAACTGTGTTCTAGGGAAACAAATTTTTATGATTTATAAACAATTTGTTGTGTTTTTTTCTCTTATTTGTTCTTCACATCTCAGAGCATTGAATAATAGTGCTGTGAACTTACATTAAATATTTTATATAAAAGCATATAAAATATACAATATTATCTTACTCCATTTTGTGCTGATAGAACACCTGAGACTGGGTAACCTATAACAAACAAGTTATCGGCTCACAGTTTTGGAGACTGGGAAGTCTAATATCAATGTACTGGCATCTGGTGAGGGCCTTCTTGCTGCATCATCACATGGCAGAAGATGGGAGGGTGACAGCAAGAAAAAAACAGCCTCACCCTTTTATAATGGCACCAATCCAACCTTTAAGGCAGGAGTCCTCGTGGCCTAATCACCTCTTAAAAATTCTACCTCTTACTACTGTCACAATGGCAGTTACATTTCAACATAGGTTTTGAAATGGACAAATATTCAAACCATAGTAAATATTATACAAAATGTTGATTTCTTTTCCTTTTGGTGTTATTGATTGTATTTCTTGCATAATGAGAAGGAGACTTTTGAAAAGTTGCATGATTGCCCAAAATCAGTCAGCAGAAGAGACAGAATCAGATCCCAGATGACCTTTCTAAAGCCCTGAAAGTGTTTTTTCCACTATACCACCCAGTCTTCCAGAACCATGTGCCTCAACTTTGTGGTGACTGAGTTAAACAAGTAACTGCACTGGTTGCAAATAATACAACCAGTCTCTGAGGTGTATTTATGCTGCAGATAGCTATAAAAGAGCTTTATTCCATTAACTTAACTACCAAAATTAGTTATATTTACTCATAAATATAAATATAAATGTGTGATTATTAAATGAAGTATTGCTAATTTCCCAGCCAGAAGAATCACTTTTTAGTGTTGGAAAATACTCTCTTCTTGCTTTTGTCTGAACTCTCAGCCACTTTCTGGCTGAGAAATCTTTTGCTATTCAATTAGTCTAAAGATTTGAGGTGAGAGAAGATAAAAAGGAAATCAGAATTTTTTGCTGGCTGCTTCTTTCTACACCTTATATCTTCCCTGACATAATGCTTAAATAGGAAAAGAACACAGTAGGGGGACAATGACAAGAGTATGCAGGAGGAAAAAGAATAAAATGTATATCTTAAACATTATCCAGCCATAAATATGTATAGATAGATAGATAGATAGATAGATAGATAGATGATAGATAGTTATAAAAATCAGCAAAAAATAATACAACAGCAAGAATATGAGTTGAAAATTTTCACAAGAAAAAATAAAAATATAAAATATGTCTCATTTATATTTTCAAAATAATCAATTTCACTAGTAATTACATAAATATAAATTAAACAATTTTTGGACTTGTACTTGCAAAGATTAAAAAGTGTGACAATATCTTGCATTGAAGAGAGTACGAGGACACTCCTGTTAGCAGACTCCTCAAGGAAACTGAAAAGTCTGTTTGAAAAGCCTTCAAAATTTTCCTATATTTTGACCCCAAATTTTCACTTTTATAAATGTACCTATTGAAAAATAATCATAGAAATTCACAAAGATGTTTTTTGGAGATGCTTATTATAAAAACTTGAATGTTCAGCAATAGGGAATTGGTTTAAATAGGGGCTGCAGCATGTAATGATTTTATTTTTGCAGTTTTAGAAGTAATGCTGATGAGTTAAAATAGAGGTAGATAAAATAGTATTAGATTCTACCCTTGAATATTTATATACCTACAAAAAATCTGACATGCCATGTAATTTGAATGGTGGTTATTCCTGGAAGTTCATTTTGGAGATTGTTTTATTTTGTTCTTTAATTTTTAAATTTTTCTTTCTTTTTAGTAATTTCTGAGTATATGTTACTTTCATAATTAGATATGTATTACGTATTATAGTTATTTCCATTTTTGATAGAAAAATATGGAAGGAAAGAGAAGATGAAAGGAGGCAGAGGAAAGTATTCCTGGTAAAATTGGAGTGACATCACCTAAGCCAAAGTTTTTGTCAGCAAAGAGTGTTGATGGGAGGAAATGATCATCTGCATAAATAAGAAGCTCTTCAAAGGGACTTTGTCCTTCAGCTCCCCTAAAGTTCTTCTCTATGCCTAAAGTCTATTGGCCAGGGGCTAACATATAATAAATACATTATTCCCACCTCTTACCAATTTTCCTGGTCTTTCTTCTTCAGGGCTTCCCACAGGGTCCCAATCCCAGTTCCCTTTATGAACTTAAATTCATAATTCACAAAATTGCATATTGCTTCTCCCCATGATTCTTGTTCCAGGTTCATAGCTTTCTTACCTGCCAAAATACATATATTTGACCTCTGCTAAATAGCAATTGATACCAATGACCTAATACATTAACTATCACTCAATAAATATTTTTTGAGCAAACATTTCATTATAAGGGACCATGCTAGGTGCTTTGAGGAGAAAAATAAACAAATAGCAAGCCTGATTTTTATACCCAGGTTTGGGAGACTGTAAATAAAATAGGGACAACTAAATAATGCTAGAGATTTAAAAAGCTAACAACAACAATGGAACCTAATGTCTGTTGCATTATGTGTTTTGGGAATCAGTGCAATGTATGTTTAAAGAATTAGTGGTGTCAGATAAGCTGAGTATTTGGATCCATAAGACCTGAGTTTGAGATTCAGATCTTCCACTTTCTCTATCAAAGTCTTTTCATTCCTCTGGGTCTGTTTCTTCATCAATACAATGGATTCTATAATATTAATGGCTTTTTCATAGGATTGAAACAGATTAAAAATTTACAAAATATTGCATCCATGAATGTATAGTTATGATTAATGTCCTTCAATATGCTCCCTCACATTATTATTCCCCATGTGATAGGCCACTTGGTCTTCTCCCTGCCCTGGGAAGAGTACTGGGATAAAAGCCAGACATAAACAACAATTGAGTCACAAAAGCAGCCACACAGCTAGACAGAATATCAGATACCATCACTGTCCCCTGAACCTTGCAAGATAATGAGTCAGTTCTCTGAATTGTAAACCAAAAATAAAATTCTAAGCCTCTCCAAGCATCTGACGAGATTCCTCCTTTTGGCAAAGGCATTCCAAAACTAACCTGAAAAACTAGTTCAGGACACGATGGTAAGGAGGATGTCAGACATGCCTCATTATACCCTCCTCCTTTTGGAATTACCGATAGAAGAGATTCTTTAAGTCTGATAAGACATATTTACAATCTATTCTTTCTGGAGCCTGCTACGTGGAGGCTTCACCTGCATGATAAAATCTTTGTCTTCATAAACCCTTATCTTAACCCAGACATTTCTAAGTCTTTAGAAAAGCAAGTAAGAAAGAAAAGTTGCTAATGTTCAGCTAATATCTATTTAATAGGCAGTAAAATGCAGTAGTGTCATTTTCCATGAGTCAAAAATATTCATTAAAACTGATGATTTATAATCATTCTGCGGTAATATTAGTTAGAATATTTGACCAACAAAAATGACAATGTTTAAAAAATGATGTTATGGTACTCCTAGAAAAAAAATTCCCAGTTTGAAGACTTATATAAAGGATATAGATTTGATCATAAAACTAATAATCTGGCTTATATTGCAAAACTACTTTACATTCAAGTATTACCAAAATGGAAAATGACTTAGGTCACTAAAAGAAAATCCCTTTGATCATAAGACCTGCCATGACCGCGCTAAATTCAAGCACTTGAGACTAGTTGATTGGGCTTTAGAAATCTTATCTGGTAAAATAAATATAAGCCTGGGATATACAGCATATTAAGTCAGATTTAGTCATTCATATCTTAGATTAATTTGTCAGATCTTTTCTTAAATATAGAAAAATTTTGGATGACTGATGTTCACTGTAATTCTGTTAGGAAGACTGAGAATAAAGATGGGTGCAAAAACATCCTCCAGTCTTTACTGAGTGGCTTTGGGATAGAAATACTTCACTAATCAGTCCAGCTGGTATTCTAAGGATTTCTCAGATCTTTTCTATGGCTATGCCAGCTCCAAACCTCTTGTTCCATCTGTGGGAAGGGGAGTTACAGGAGAAGTCTGAGGATTACATGCCTTTTCAATCCACTAAGCCAGGTCAGGTGCTGAGAGCATCCCATTTGCTTTCTCTAGGTTCAATACCCTGAAATGCTTGACTTTGTGTGTCTTCTTCCAATCCCACAGAGTCAAATAGGCTGTCAGTTAGAGACTTGCACTGGGTATCTGGTTACATTTGTGGAGCCAACAGGAGAGGTAAAATGAGGCTCACAGGGCACTTGAGGTGACCATGAGCCAGTTGGGAGTGCATTCAGAGGCAAGGGGTCCTATATATCTTGTAGGTAGGCTTCCTGATTGTCTGAGGAGCAAAGTAGTTAGGTCCAGGGCTTTTCTTCCCTGCTGCCAGACTCTCCTCAGCACTCAGCCCTGACAATCACCTCAGTATTCTGAGTGGGGTGAGAAAGAAGTGAACTTCTTGGTCAGCATCTCACCCTGCTAAGGTAGCTGGGCACCTACTCACTACACTCTCACATTCTTTCAGAAATAAATAACCAACTAAGGGGGTTCTCTCCCCCAGCCATGGCAGTTAGCTGTGCTGCCTTGAAGTGGGGGTGCTTTGCCCTCTTCGTGTATCTATCCTCAAACTTTTGGCTCCAACTGTTCTGTGCAGGAGACATGCGAGGGGAGAAGAAAAGGCACACACACAATACCTTTATGGGTAAAAAAGCTTTATCCCATGTAAATGGCAATGCAGATATAATAAGCAAATGATATAATAAGGAAATTATATAATAAGCAAATTGCAATGGGAAGGGGAGAAGGGAAAAGATATATATATATATTTACATTCACCAGGCTATGGAGGATTCATCATCAGACTGGGGAGCAACAGCCTGGGCTCCAGAGTTGGACACTGCACTCACCAGACTATGGAGGATTCACCACCACAATGGGAAGCAACAGCCTGGGGTCCAGAGTCGGCCACTGGCCCATGCTCAGACAAGTAGAGGTCTCATTAAGTTTCAGTACAGTCTGGCAACCTAGCTCTTTTTGTAACGAGTTGTTTGGCATGAGGCCCAGTCATGAGGGCCCTTCATGACTGGGCTCAAGGAACACAAAAAGTTCAACTTGTTTTTGCGATTGCCTGTTGTTTTTCAACAACTAACATATAGAAATAGATTGAAATAGAGACTTGTCTGAAACAATGCTGGATCAATGTCTCAAGGGGCTCATACAACTCATTCTGGGACTTGGTGACCATTGTTTGTGTCCATGTTCAATTGAGTTCAAATGTAATATTTAGCTTTTCCTCCACACCAACACCATGCTGGAACTTCTCCACTAGACTCTTAGACTCCCACAGGACACTCTCTTTCATGGATAGCAGTCAAAATCAATCCTTCTATAGGTGAGGGGGATGACCATAGAAAGCGCCTATTCTGCTATGTTACTGTCCTCATCTCTTTTTTCTAATTGGCATATTTAGACCACTTGATTTTAATGTAAAACTTGATATTTTAAATCTGACATCTTATTTTTTGTTTTCTGTTTATCTCTGTTTTATATTTCTTTTTTCATGCTTTTCATAGATTGAAAATTTTTATATTCCCATTTGATTTATTTAATGTATATTTAGGTGAATATCCTTTTGTAGCTTTTTTAGTAGTTACTCTAGGTATTAATTTATATATACAAAACTTACCACAGTCTATGATGTCAATATTTTATCAGTTTGAGTAAAGTATTAAAAATTATCCCCTTTACCTTTTATACTCTTTACTCCTTACCCTCTTTAATATTTATAAAATAATTGTCTTATATATTTCCTCTACCTACATTGAGAACGACATTAAAATATAATGGGATGTTACAGTCAAAGTACTAAAAGAAAAATAAAAAGAACTACCAAACAAGACTACTTTATCCAGCAAAGTTGTCCTTCAGAAATGAGAGGAGATAAAGACTTTCTCAGACAAACAAAAGATTAGGGAGTTCACCACCACTAGAATGGCCATACAAAAATGTGTCCAGAATTTATTCCTTCCAGTGGGTTCTTGGTCTCACTGACTTCAAGAATGAAGCTGTGGACCCTTGCGGTGAGTGTTACAGTTCTTAAAGATGGTGTGTCCAGAGTTTGTTCCTTCAGATGTTCACATGAGTCCAGAGTTTCTTCCTTCCGGTGGGTGTGTGGTCTCGCTGACTTCAAGAGTGAAGCCGCAGACCTTCGCAGTAAGTGTTACATCTCTTAAAGGTGGCGCTTCTGGAGTTGTTTGTTCCTCCCTGTGGGTTCGCGGTCTGACTTCAGGAATGAAGCCACAGACCTTCACAGTGAGTGTTACAGCTCATAAAAGTAGTGCGGACCCAAAGAGTGAGCAGCAGCAAGATTTATTGTGAAGAGTGAAATAACAAAGCTTCCACAGTGTGGAAGGGGACCCAAGCAGGTTGCCGCTGCTGGCTCAGGTGGCCAGTTTTTAGTCCCTTAGTTGGCCCCGCCCACATCCTGCTGATTGGTCCATTTTACAGAATGCTGATAGGTCCATTTTTACAGAGTGTTGATTGGTGCTTTTACAATCCTTTAGCTAGACAAAAAAGTTCTCCAAGTCCCCGTCTGACCAAGAAGACCAGCGGTCTTCACCTCTCAAAAATGCTAAAGGAAAAATTTTAAGCTTAATTGAAAGGATGCTAATCGGTAACATGAAAACATATAAAAGTATAAAACTCAGCGAGAAATGAAAACATTAAAAATAACTATAACTACAATAATTTGTTAATCATACACACAGTAAAAAGATGTAAATTGTACAACAGAAACCTAAAATGTGGGGACAGCAAAAGTATAGAGTTATATATGTGAATAAAGTTATTATCTTAAATCAAACTGTTAAAACTACGTTTTATAAAACTCAAGGTAACCACAAAGAAAAAAATCTGCAATAGATTACTCAAAAGGTAGAGAGAAAGGAATCAAAGCAAAACACTATAGAAAATCATCAAATCACAAAGGAAGACAGCAAGAAAGGAAGAAGGAATCTATAAAACAGCAAGAAAACAATTAATAGAATGGCAATAGTAAGTCTGTATTTATCAATAATTACTTTAAATGTAAATGGATCAAATTATCCAATCAAAAAATATGGAGTGGCTAAATGGATACAAACATAAGACCAAACTACATGCTGCCTGTGAGAGACTCACTTCACCTGTAAGGACACACATAGCCTGAAAGGAAATGGATGATAAAAGCTATTCCATGCAACTAGAAACTTAAAAGAGAACAAGGGTAACTATACTTAAACAAATAGACTTTAACTCAAAAACTAAGAAGAGACAAAAAAGTCATTATGTAATGATAAACTGGTCAATTCATCAAGAGGATAAAACAACAGTCAATATACTATGCCCCTAACATTAAAGCCCCTAAATACATAAAGTAAATATTAACATATCTGAAGGGAGAAAGAGACAGAAATACAACAATTGTAGAGTACTTCGATACCCCACTTTCAACAATGTAGCTTATCCAGAGAGGAATTCTAAAAGGACACATTGGTCTCGAACTGTACTTTAGACTAAATGAACCTGACAGACATATAAAAAACAGTCTATTCACAGCAGCAGAATACACATTCAAGTACACATGAAACATTCTCCAGGATAGATTATATGTTAGGCAACAAAACAAATCTTGAAGATTGTTAATCTTGATATTTAAGAAGATTGAAATCATACTAAACATCTTTTCTGACTATGATGGTACAAAACTAGAAATCAACAAATAAGAAAAAAAACTGAAACATTCACAAATATGTGGAAATTAAACACCACACACCTCAAAAAATAAATGCAGCAAAGAAGAAACTACAGGAATAATTTAAAAAAAAATTGAGCCAAAACAAATGGAAACACAACATACTAAAACTTATAAGATGCAGTAAAAACAGTTCTAAGATGGAAGTTTATAGTAATAAAGACCTACATAAGGAAATATTATATAAAAAGATCACAAATAAATAATGCTACACCTCAAGGAGCTAGAATAAGATCAAACTAAGTCCAAAGTTATTAGAAGGAAGGAAAAAGTAAAAATCAGAGCAGAGATAAATAAAATAGTCTACGGACTATTGCTATGGTGATAGCACCCCAACTATCACTGTTCGTATTCTCTGCAAAGTTTTGGTTGTAAAATCAAGCCTCCATCTTGTTTTACATCCTGAGGGTATGACTTGTAACTCTGGTGGCAAGGCTTTGTTTAGCAATCCTATCTTAGGGAATAACTTTCTTTATGGTTTGATGTCTGCATGTTTTCCTACCCCTGTCTCTTAAAGGGCTCTACCCAGCAACTGGGTTTTCTTGTGCCTGTCTGTGTATGTGTTGTGTGTAATGTCTGGAAAAGAGCTCTAGTTAATTTGGCCTAAAGAAAGACAACTGCTTGCATCTAATATTTTTTAAAGGGAGGATAAAAGCTGTGGTACTTTTCAGAAATAAAAGCAGCCTTCAATCTTGTTGGTAAAATGCATGTGTCATTAAAATGTAAATAGATGAACTAAACTATGCAGGTCTGATGCAAGATTTGCTAAATGTTTTGAGGTTGCAAACTGCTTTTTGGGTTTTTGAGAACTATCTGACTTGTGGGCTTCACAATTGCAAGACCTGGGGACATATGGAACTAACCATACCCTTAATTAAGAAGGGAAACCTTGGCTGCACTTAGCACACAATTTAAACAACTTACCAGGTTTCACATTAAAGTTAAAAATTGCTAAGAGTTACCATTATAACATGTAATTGAAACTACTGGAAATAGATTTACATGCAAGGTATGTAAGAACAGTAAAATGTGTTTTTTAGTAAAAGGTTATAAGAAGGCATGGAAATATAAATTTGTGCCTAGTGTTAAAGGATTGTTTTGAGTTAGATAGGAAAAGCCAAAGTTTCAAACAAGTGGTGGAAGAACTGTGGAAATTAATCTTGCAGAAGAGGTTCTCTATGCAAACATATTAACAAAATTCAAAAGGGTTATAAAAGAATTTTGCTTCTTTAAGACTTCTGAGTCATCATTTTGGCAAAATAAATGACTTATGGTAATCTGGAATTCTGTTTCATAATATCGAGTGCTTTAAACATATTTAACAGGCTTCCCAAATGAAACCCCAGTTTCAAAATTGTCTTTCCTGACCCCTGACATCGGATACTTCAGAGGGCCCCTGGAATGTCCAGAAAAGAGAGGTAAACAGGATTATTGGACGGGTTTAGATACATGGGATTGACAAAATGATGTTCATTCTTCTTTAGGTTACATTTTTGGTGAATAAGGCTAATATATGTTCCAAAATTTATGAGAATTCTAATGTCTAAGTATATGCTATCAATCATAATTAAGGTTGTTATGTTAAGTTGTTGTAAACCACAGAGATGGCCAAACTTCTTTGTCAATTGTGTTGCTAGCTGTAACTACCCTGGACATTTTGCTATTCACAGACAATTGTTGTCTTGTTTTAATCCTTTTCAAAAGATGGTTCGTAATAAGCTATAGAAATTTAACAGATCCTCTAAAATACAGGCTTCTGATAACTTTGGAAATTGTAACATTGGAATAAAGGAAAACATACAGGACTCGTGAACAGCTGAAATGTTCATGAATATTAAGCAAAACAAGAGTCAACTAAATGGACTAAACTCAGAAACTGAATGGAGCAAATCTTTCTGACTTTTGCTTGAAATATTGCTGATCCTTGTTATGTTTTTCAGAGTCAAAGAAACTTATTTTAAACTATTTATGGCCTTTAATTATTAAGATACACTCCTAGATCAAAATTTGGAGCATGTTTGTTTCTCTCTGCCTGCTTCCCTTAGAATTTGGAAAGTATCTGTGAGTATTCTTAACTTACAGCAATATAGTTGTTTGCATCAGTGCAATAAGAATCCATCTTTCTTTTGCAACAGAACGCAATTGGAAAAACTGGTCATTTCACCAAGGCTTTGACTGGAAGGGTATGCTTCCCTTTAAGGAGTCAATCTCGACTTGCAGAGCCAATAAAAGCCCAGTGGGGAGACTGGCCTCATAACTTTGTCTATGCAGTCCCTGTACAGGGTTCCTGATGTGTGGTCAGTAATGATTGTCACTTTCTAACAGGTCCAGGAGCTCCAAGTTTATCTTGGGACCTTATGAGGAGAGGATGACCCCACTCACAGGTATTTGAGGATACTAACCCATGGCTGGGCTCAGTTTTAAAATACCTTATCTGAGACTCCTTGTGGAACAAAGTTCCATCAAAGCCAATCCAAAAGGCCTATGTAGAAATGATTATTCTTGCTGCACTTTATGTAAATAATCAGGCCAAGTGTAAAACCAAAGTCTATTTTTCAAACAACCCAGTCCCATTATGATTTGTTTTTTTTAAACAAACATGAGGACTGGAGAGAGTAAAATTATATTCCAAACTTTCTCATACATTTGTCATTAAATTCTAAACTAACTAATTGTTTTTAAGTTTTCTCCTACATTTTAGACTAATCCTGCTTGTTCCTGTGAACCAACCAGCAATCTCTGGCTGCAGCTCAGAAAGAACAAAAGGGGATGGGTAATGTAGAAATCCTGATCAATATTCTAGTTCTGTGCAATTATCCTGCAAATCTTGCCAGGTGATGGAATACATAGGGAATAAATAGGATCCCATCACTCAGAGGTTTCCTTTTGGGGAAGTAAGACCAAGGGAGCTAACCAAAGCCAGACACCATGCACCCAAATCCTAGCAAGCATAACTATAGCTACCAGTTATCTGGGGGTGTCATAAGACATCCTTTCTCACCCTCGGAGGAGGACTTAGTTCCACAGTTTCATCATAGCATTTGGCTTATGATAAGGAGTCCACGCAACTTTCCCCGAGACACATTTTTGTCCCAGACTCAATTACAGGCTTTGGGTTAAAGCCCTAGAAAGAAAATTGGATATAAAGGATCCAGAGGCAGACAACAACAGAGGTTAAAAGGCACAGCACAGGGGAGCATGGCTGATTCCTGTTGATTAAGCCAACCCCAAACTTCCTGTTTCATGGATAAAGGCCACATTAATATCCATGGTGTAAATGAGGTCTAGGGCACTCCAAGGCTACTGACAGTAGCAGTGATAGAGGCATAGGTGAGAGCAGATAATTCCTATTCTCTAGGCCTTCCCTGCTTCATGTGTGCAAGCTGCTTTGGCACTCATGGCGGGACCTGCCTAGGTCACAGGGACTTGGAGATGCAAGGATGGAAGAGGAAAAGAGGACACTCTTCCTTTTCTCCCTCATGTACCCCAGGTATCTGCTAGGAAGAAAAGGGAGCCAGGGATGCCTGCTCCCCTCTTTCTAGATGGGTAGCTATTAATCTTCAGTATGTACCCCTTTTGAATACATCCTGAACCCCGGGGACTCCCTTAAAAAAATGCCTTTTTGAGCTTACCCTTCCTATTGTTTTGTTTTGATACATGTTTTCTAATAACCCGGTTTGTCTGTTCTTAGACCATCAAACTCCAAATGGTCATGCAACCAGAGCCTCTGACGATGGCCCCTTCTGCTGGGAACCCTTAAATAGGCCTCTGAGGAAGCTCTGACTGCCATTTCCCCAAAAGCTCTGACTGCCGTTTCCCTGTCAGCAGGAAGCAGTTAAGTTTAGTCTTCATCTTTATCCTTATTCTCATGGCAGTTAGATATACTTTTTTAGAGCGGGGAATGAGACAGCCAGGTGGGAGGGGGTCCCTGGAAAAATTCTAACTGCACCGGGGTGGGGACTCAGGAAGTTCACGCATTTTGCAGCTGGGAGGAGCGTGGCCCCTCCTCTTCCTGCATGGAACCTGGGATTCAAACAGGGGCTCTGGCCTTGCGGAAGATCCCTGTTTCTCTCCTTCTTTTCCCTTTTCACCCAATAAAACCCTGCCTTAATCACACTTCAAACCATTTGCTAGCCTAAATTTTCATGGCCATGGGACAGACAAGGACTCAGTCTTTAGCTGAACTAAGGAAATGTCCTGAAACAGTAATATGAATGTATACATGTGATAAATGACATAAAGCCATAGTGTACATATTGTGCCAATGTCAAATTCCTAATTTTGATTTTGTGCTATAATTATGTAAGGTATAACCATTGGGGAAAACTGGTAAGGGGTACGTGGATCCCCTCTGCCCTACCTTTGAAACTCCCTGTGAATCTATTCTTTTTTTTTTTTTTTAATTATACTTTACGTTCTAGGGTACATGTGCACAACATGCAGGTTTGTTACATATGTATGCATGTGCCATGTTGGTGTGCTGCACCATTAACTCATCATTTACATTAGGTATATCCCCTAATGCTTTCCCTCCCCCCTCCCCCCACCCCACAACATGCCCCAATATGTGATGTTCCCCTTCCTATGTCCAAGTGTTCCCATTGTTCAATTCCCACCTATGAGTGAGAACATGCAGTGTTTGGTTTTTTGTTCTTGTGATAGTTTGCTGAGAATAAAAAGGTAAAAAAGAATTTAGGTCAAAGTTACTTGTTCACAGTCTGTGGAGGAGATTCACTTGATTCCTTGATCAGCATCAGTAGCCTTGAACAACAGGACAGAGTCAATCTTATGAAGAGTGGCCTGAAAAGTTTCATCATATTGAACCTTCTCCTGCAGAATTCCTCTAATGAACTATTAAACTACAAGAGGATACATAGCAAAAGGCAGATTTCAAATATATTTTATAAGTTTGTTGTGAAGATAAAGACAAAATAATAAATGTAAAGCCTTTAAAAACTATTAAGCCAAGTTTAGCAAGCTTTTTTTTGTAAAGGAGAAGAGAGTACATATTTTAAGATTTGTGGGCCATATGGTCTCTTTTGTAAATACTCAACTCTGTCATAGTCCAAAAGTAGCCATAGAGAATATGGAAAAGAAAGAGCATGGCTGTGTTGCAATTGAACTACAGTCATGCACCGCATTACAAAGTTTTACTCAACAACAGACCACATATACGACAGTGTTTGCATAAGATCATAATAGATCTGAAAAATTCCTGTTGCCTAATGAGTCGCAGCCATCTTAACATTGTAGCACAATTCTTTACTCATATGTTTGTTTTAATATTGGTGTAAATGTGAAAGGAAAATAAACCTGGGAGCCCCCAAATTACTAAGCCAAAGGGTGTCAGGCAAACCTGTCTCTCATTTTATTTTAAAATAACTACAAAGATTTTTTTTTTTTAAGCTACATACCTCCCTCACAATTTGCCCACCATGAAATTCCTTGTGAGCCTCAAGGTCTTCACCCTAAAACAGTTCTGTTGAATTTCACCCTGGCAATGTAAACTGATAGCTTATCTTCTCAGGGGCAGGACAAAGGACAGACAGAACTCAGAGTCATCTCTGCTCACCTGCATTATTGGATTGCTTCCTCTGCCCTATTGTTTATGTAAAAATGCAGATTCACTGAGTCAGACTAAGACACAAGTGACTATTCCTCTACTCTCCTCTTACATGTAAATTTTATATTCAGTGAAAGGCTGATTAAAGACCCAAAAAGACCTAAAAGAATGCAAACTTTTGTCTCTTATTTACCTATGTCCTGGAAGCCCCAATTTCTAGTTGTCCCGCCTTTCCAGACCAAACCAATGTACATCTTACACATATTGATTGAGGTCTCATGTCTCTCTAAAATGTATAAAGTCAAGCTGTGCCCTGACCACCTTGGGCACATGTTCTCAGGCTCTCCTGAGGGCTGTGTCACGGGCCATTGGTCACTCATCCTTGACTCAGAGTAAATCTCTTTAAATATTTTACAGAGTTTGACTCTTTTCATCAACATAAACAAACCCATTGTGCTGCCAGTTGTAAAAAGTATAGGACACACAATTATGTACAGTACATAATACTTGATGATAACAAATGGCTATGTAAATGGTTTATGAATTTATTATACTATATTTTTATTGTTATTATAGAGTTTACTTCTTCTAGTTACAGGGAAAAAAAAAGTTAACTGTAAAACTGCTGCAAGTCGATCCTTCAAAAGGTATCATAGGAGATGGTAGCTCTATGTGCGTTATGCGTGGAAGACCTTCTGGTGGGATAAGATGTGGACATGAAAAACTATGATACTGATGATCCTGAACATGTGTAGCCCTAGGCTAATGTGTGTGTTTGTGTCTCATATTTAACAAAAAGGTTAAAAAGTTCAAAAAATAAATATATATATATATATATTTTTTGAGACAGAGTCTCACTCTGTCGCCCAGGCTGGGGTGCAGTAGCACGAACTGGGCTCACTGCAGCCTTCACTTCCCAGGTTCCAGTGATTCTCCTGCCTCACCCTCCCAGGTAGCTGGGATTACAGGCGTGTGCCACCACACCTGGCTAATTTTTGTATTTTAAGTTGAGATAAGGTTTCACCATGTTGACCAGGCTGGTCTTGAACTCCTGGCCTCAGGTGATCCTCCTGCTTGAGCCTCCCAAAATGCTGGGATTACAGGTGTGAAGCACTGTGCCCAGCCAATAAAATATTTTTAAAATAGAAAAAAGCTTAGAGAATATGAATATAAAGAAAATATTTTGTGCAGTTGCATGTGTTTGTGTTTTAACCTGTATTAGTACAAAAGAGTCAAAAAGTTTCAAAAAACTAAAAAGTTTACAAAGTAAAAAAGCTACTGTAAGCTGAGGTTAGCTTATTATTGAAGAAATTTCTTTTTATAAACATAGAGTAGCCTAAGTACACAGTGTTTATAAAGTGTACAATAGAGTACAGTCATGCCGTAGGCCTTCACATTCACTCGCCACTCACTCACTGACTCACCGAGAGCAACTTCCTCTCCTACAGGCTCCATTCATGGTAAGTACTCTATACAGATGTACCATTTTTTAATATCTTTTATACCATATTTTTACTCTACCTTTTCCATGTTTAGATACACACATACTTAACTTTTTGTTGCAATTGTCTGCAGTATTCAGAAGAGTAACATGCTGAACAGGTTTGTAGCCTAGGAGCAATAGGCTGTACCACATAACCCAGGTGTGTAGCAGGCTGTACCCTCTATAGGTTTGCGTAAGTACACTTAATGATGTTCACACAATGACAAAACCGCCTAATGATGCATTTCTCGATTGTATTCCCATCATTAAGCAACATATGACTGTACTTGCAAAAACAGATACAGGCCGCATCTGGTCTATAAACTATAGTTTGTTGACTCCTGCCATAAAGCCCCTTATCTCATATAGATAATACAGAAGAGAAACAGGATTTCAGAGAGCTGGCTTCCAGTTCTGTCACTGACCCTAATGGCTATGTTGTTTTAGACAATCTCCTTATCTCACTGCCTACTTGAACTATAAAAAGAAAAAGGTAAACACTAAGATCTCTTCCAAAGTCTAAAATCCTTAATTATTGATTACCCTAGATAATTCTCATAAAACCTCCTTTCTTAGGTTGTAGAACCTGGAAACAATTTCATCATCGCAAACCATTAAAGCTTATATTTAGCACATGGATCATTGTCATGGGATATTGGCCAATGAATATGAATAAAATTTCTTTATTAGAAAGAAGAAGTTTATGCTAAAAGGAAAAACTAGTTGGAAAAACTTTAATGGTACAGCGAATTTATTTTTGGCATTTCATATTTTATCAAGCTCCCATATTATGTTGAATGTATCAAATGTACTCAAATCCTTTCTAATTTTTTAAATATTTCATTCAAATAAGTATTTTATTAATGTGGCATCATTATTTCAAAGTTTTTACCCTACTTAATATAAAATATTATTTGGAAGAAGGAGTTAAAGTATTTAATGAAAATAAACATATAAATAGTTAGAAAATCAAATTAGCTGTCAACTATTCCATTAGAGACAGTGGTGGTTGTTATAATGCTTAAGGACAGAAAAGCTAATAAAATACATTAATTATAAATGTGTTTGAATTTTTAACACACATTTAATAAAATTTATAAAAATTAAACTTTTGGAAATTTTTCTTAAATACAAACAAAAGAAAAATATAAAATAATGAGCATTCCATCACAGAAATAGATCAAGAAATACCTGATGAATGTTAAACGTATTCTTTTATAAATGTGTACATTACATAAGGATTTGGATTTACCAAAGATAATTCCAGTTTTACAAGTTTATAAAGTCAAACTAAATTCTACTTCTTACTATGTTAACTGAAACACTTTAAAAATGTTCTATCTATCTGTAGTAGTGTCAACAATGAAAATGAAGTTAAAAATAAAAAAAAAGTTCTTTGTAGGCAGGATATAGCAGAGAAGAGTCAACAGGTGCTGAGACATGGATGAGAAAAATTTAAAACAATAGACTTTTTAATAAAATGTGAAGACATTTTTACAGATTTCCACAGATGAGGAACATTGCAAACCCAAAGTTCTAACTCACCTACATCATACAGTTGATTATTGGCAGAGCTGAAGCTAAAGCTTGTGAGTCTTAGTTCCTATTCTTGGGTTATTTCTACTCTACCACTTTCAGCCTATGTGGTGAAAAGTAACATGAAAACAGTAAAATGGCAAAGCCTAAATGTGCTATCAGCTGGAAATCAAGGCTTTCTTTGAGACAACCACAGAACTAGTCTAAGCATGCTGCCTGAAAGAGATGAAACGAAAGAAAGTGTGGGAAAATGGGAAATGCAAATAACACTAGGCAAAGAGAATATCTGGAATAATTACTTGAAACAACAACAAAAACTGTGTAAGATGAGAGGACTGTTTTATATACTCTCTTGAGAGCAAAAGAAATATAAGAGGTCTTGTTCATTCATGCAGTCATTCAGCAAACATTCTTAGGACCTACTACATGATATTTGCAGGTCTGGGTTCTGTGAAACCAACAGTAAACCAGAAAGACTTTCTTACTAAGCAACAGAAAAATAACAAGAGCTATTTTAGAGAAGACAGAGTATTTAGGGGAGAAAGGTGCATAGTCAAGGACTGGTAAAATAAGACTTGCTGAAGGAAGTGGTATTTATCTTAGTCAAAGGTTTGAGTTAGAGTTAGCCATTCAAAGAAGGAGGAAAAGGGAATTCCAGGTGAATAAGTCTTTATTTGTTACCATCTCTGTTGACTTTACTGCAGACCCTGCAGGATTAGTAGATTTCATGACACCACTAGCCACCTCTTTATAAATTCTCTAGGCAGGCTTAGCCTCTATTCAAATCTAAATGTGCAGCCCCACAGTCCTCTCCTCTATCTACATCCTCACATTTGGTAACTTTATCCAGATCACTGGCTATATCTCACCACTGAGCTATAAACCAGTGTGTCCAACCACATGTTTCTACTCTCTACCTGTTGGTTATTAGACATTTCAAACATAGAGTGGCTTGGCTGGGGTAGCTCTCCACATTTCTTCCATTTTTCTCCATAGAGTGTGTAAGCTCTCTTGGAACACACTAATATTAGCAAGAAGAGCCAAGGTTAGTGAAGACAGAAAGGGACAGGTATTTAAGCCAAACAACAAAAGATTAGCAATAATTGACTATGCATTGAAGGAGAAAAACAATATTCCGAGCCAATGAAGATCTTCTCTATTTTTAGCTTATGTTTTCTAACAATGATTATCACTATAAAGCATAAGTGGTATTTATTTGATTCTTTCTTTTGTGTGTGTGTGTGTGTGTGTGTGTAGCCTAAATTCTTACAAAAAATAGACTATATCCATACTCAGTAATGAAGTAATCTTGAAAAAGAAACACTTATCATCCTGTATCACTAAGAGAATGTTAGTGATGCTAGTGAAGGCTCCAGGTATAGCCATTAGTTTTATTTATTTATTTATTTATTTATTTATTTATTTATTTAATTATTATACTTTAAGTTCTAGGGTACATGTGCACAATATGCACGTTTGTTACATATGTATACATGTGCCATGTTGGTGTGCTGCACCTGTTATCTCGTCATTTACATTAGGTATATCTCCTAATGCTATCCCCCCTCCCCCTATGCCATGACAGGCCCCAGTGTGTGATAGTCCCCACACTGTGTCCGATATTCCCCACACTGTGTCCAAGTGTTCTCATTGTTCAATTCCCACCTATGAGTGAGAACATGCAGTGATTGGTTTTCTGTCCTTGTGATAGTTTGCTCAGAATGATGGTTTCTAGGACAGGAACTCATCCTTTTTATGGCTGCATAGTATTCCATGGTGTATATGTGCCACATTTTCTTAATCCAGTCTATCATTGATGGACATTTGGGTTGGTTCCAAATCTTTGCTATTGTGAATAGTGCCGCAATAAACATATGTGTGCATGTGTCTTTAAAGCAGCATGATTTATAATCCTTTGGGTATAGGCTCAGTAATGGGATGGCTGGGTCAAATGGTATTTCTAGTTCTAGATCCTTGAGGAATCACCACATTCTCTTCCACAATGGTTGAATCAGTTTACAGTCCCACCCACAGTGTAAAAGTATTCCTATTTCTCCACATCCTCTCCAGCACCTGTTGTTTCCTGACATTTTAATGATCGCCATTCTAACTGGTGTGAGATGGTATCTCATTGTGGTTATGATTTGCATTTCTCTGATGACCAGTGATGATGAGCATTTTCTCATGTGTCTGTTGGCTGCATAAATGTCTTCTTTTGAGAAGTGTCTGTTCATATCCTTTGCCCATTTTTTGATGGGGTAGTTTGATTTTTTCTTGTAAATTTGTTTAAGTTCTTTGTATATTCTGGATATCAGCCCTTTGTCAGATGGGTAGATTGTAAAAATTTTCTCCCATTTTGTAGGTTGCCTGTTCACTCTGATGGTAGTTTCTTTTGCTGAGCAGAAGCTCTTTAGTTTAATTAAATCCCATTTGTCACTTTTGGCTTTTGTTGCCATTGCTTTTGGTGTTTTAGTCATGAAGTCCTTGCCCATGCCTATGTCCTGAATGGTATTGCCTAGGTTTTCTTCTAGGGTTTTGGTGGTTTTGGGTCTAACATTTAAGTCTTTAATCCATCTTGAATTAATTTTTGTATAAGATGTAAGGAAGGGATCCGGTTTCAGCTTTCTACATATGGCTAGCCAGTTTTCCCAGCACCATTTATTAAATAGGGAATCCTTTTCCCATTGCTTGTTTTTGTCAGGTTTGTCAAAGATCAGATGGTTGTAGATGTGTGGTATTATATCCAAGGGCTCTATTCTGTTCCATTGGTCTATATCTCTGTTTTGGTACCAGTACCATGCTGTTTTGGTTACTGTAGCCTTGTAGTATAGTTTGAAGTCAGGTAGCGTGATGCCTCCAGCTTTGTTCTTTTGGCTTAGGATTGTCTTGGCAATGTGGGCTCCTTTTTGGTTCCATATGAACTTTAAAGTAGTTTTTTCCAATTCTGTGAAGAAAGTCATTGGTAGCTTGATGGGGATGGCATTGAATCTATAAATTACCTTGGGCAGTATGGCCATTTTCACAATATTGACTCTTCCTATCCTTGAGCATGGAGTGTTCTTCCATTTGTTTGTGTCCTCTTTTATTTCGTTGAGCAGTAGTTTGTAGTTCTCCTTGAAGATGTCCTTCACATTCCTTGTAAGTTGGATTGGTAGGTATTTTATTCTCTTTGAAGCAATTGTGAATTGGAATTCACTCATGATTTGGCTCTCTGTTTGTCTGTTATTGGTGTATAGGAATGCTTGTGATTTTTGCACATTGATTTTGTATCCTGAGACTTTGCTGAAGTTGCATATCAGCTTAAGGAGATTTTGGGCTGAGACGATGGGGTTTTCTAGATATACAATCATGTCATGTGCAAACACGACAAATTGACTTCCTCTTTTCCTAATTGAATACACTTTCTTTCTTTCTCTTGCCTGATTGCCCCGGCTGGAACTTCCAACACTATGTTGAATAGGAGTGGTGAGAGAGGGCATCTTTGTCTTGTGCCGGTTTTCAAAGTGAACACTTCCAGTTTTTGCCCATTCAGTATGATATTGGCTGTGGGTTTGTCATAAATAGCTCTTATTATTTTGTGATACGTCCCTCAATACCTAGTTTATTGAGAGTTTTTAGCATGAAGGGCTGTTGAATTTTGTCGAAGGCCTTTTCTGCATCTATTGAGATACTCATGTGGTTTTTGTCATTTGTTCTGTTTATGTGATGGATTACGTTTATTGATTTGCATATGTTGAACCAGCCTTGCATCCCAGGGATGAAGCCAACTTGATCATGGTGGATAAGCTTTATGATGTGCAGCTGGATTCAGTTTGCCAGTATTTTATTGAGGATTTTTGCATCGATGTTCATCAGGGATATTGGTCTAAAATTCTCTTTTTTGTGTGTGTCTCTGCCAGGCTTTGGTATTAGGATGAAGTTGGCCTCATAAAATGAATCAGGGAGGATTCCCTCTTTTTCTATTGGTTGGAATAGTTTCAGAAGGAATGGTACTAGCTCCTCTGTGTACCTCTGGTAGAATTTGGCTGTGAATCCATCTGGTCCTGGGCTTTTTTTGGTTGGTAGGCTATTAATTATTGCCTCAATTGGACTTAGTTTTGAATGGTTCTTCCACTCCGTTATCTGAATACACATAGCCAATAAAATCTCACAGCAATTTGAATGAATCATTATGAAAGCAAAAGACAACAAAATGGTTTGCTATTTTCTTTGAATTCCTAGGTATATGACCTTGTACTTCAGTCAAAATAATCTATTTTTTTAACCTAACCACATCCTTCACTGATGGCATTTTGTTGCATATACAAAATACAATAATAAAAAGAGTGAGTAGTTCAACTGTAAGACTGATTTATAATGACAGTTTTTCAGATACAGGGGAAATGAAGAATTGAGCAGATTCTGTGAAGTGAAAATTCCCAATTATGTTATTCCCTTGTATTAATTAAACAGGTGCTAGGTAGTTTTCAGAGTAGCACCTCTGAGACTTGTGTTATGCAGAATTACTTACAGTTGTTAAATGTTATGCTCTTCTCAGTGAAAGCACTAATACAAATCCTGATTGAGCATCTATTAGGTAGAAAGTACAGCTCCTCTTGGACTCCCTTGAGGAGATAACTGACTAATCCTCAGGCAACTCTTCTATTTCCCCAAATCTTTGTTCATTAAGAAAAAAGTCCACTTTGGAGTCCTTCCAATGTTTATCAAATATGCTTCTGACAAACTTACTTTCTTTAAAAATCTTAGCCCATTTCACCACTACTGTCTTATTATATCATTTCCTTCAAGAAATACCTTCACTGGGTCCCACATACATAACAGAAATAGTCCATATTTTTAGCCTAATATTTACGGTCTTCCAAACATTGAACAATCTCAACCATGCCCATGGCTTAAACTATTCTGTTTGTGACCAAAACCTGCAGCTTTTGACAAAACTTCATATCTGAGCTCCAGAATCTAAGAACCTGATCAAGCTCTTTCTTTCTTTCTTTCTTTTAGGTGGAATCTCATTCTGTTACCGAGGCTGCAGTGCAGTGGCATGATCTCGGCTCACTGCAAGCTCCACCTCCCGAGTTCACGCCATTCTCCTGCTTCAGCCCCTCGAGTAGCTGGGACTACAGGCGCCCGCCACCACACCCGGCTAATTTTTTTTGTATTTTTAGTAGAGATGGGGTTTCACCATGTTAGCCGGGATGGTCTCGATCTCCTGACCTCGTGATCTGCCTGCCTCGGCCTCCCAAAGTGCTGGGATTACAGGCGTGAGCCACCACGCCCGGCCGCTCTTTTCTTAAATATCTGGTGGAGGCCTCAAAATCAAAATGTCTAAAACAGAACTCATCATCAATAAAGCCATTCGTCCATTTATATTCTCTGCTTCTTTGAACGGTTATCCAGTACCTCCAACCAGAAGTCAATAGCTTACCCTGGAGTCTTTTTTATCATTACCTTTCGTATTCAGTTCGTCAGCAAGTATGTCTAAAATCCTTCCATTCTTCCTGCTTCTCTGTTACCAACTGTGCTGCACAGTGTATGCCCTACCACATCTCATCTGGATAATTTATAATAGCTTCACTAATAGTTGCTTTTCTTCCAGCCATGTCTCCTTCCCAGTGAGATGGTTCATACAATCATGGAATTTTATCTTTCTAATTCATACATTCGATCACATCACTATCATTTTCAAAGTTTCTTTATGGCTCACCATCACTCTAGAACATAATCTAAACTTCTTTGCATGGCTGACAAGACATTTTTTGATCTGGCTTCTTGCCTCCTCTCCTGCCAGCCTTAACCTCTCTCCCATACTTCCCTAAACATTTTATTTTCCAGTTCTCATAAAATGCCTTTACTCACTCATATCTCCATGCCTGTGCACAATTACGTTCTTCTTTGCATAGTACCCTTTCTTGTCTATCCATCAAACTCTCATTTATAATTCAAATCTATACTCAGATAGTACGTACTGTATAAACTTCCCCTGACTCCTGAGATCTTAGAATCTCCTTTCCCTTTATACATTAAATATATTTAAAATATAATAATTATATTTTTATAATGATATATGTCGTTTATGCAGTATGTCTGTCTCCTACTAGGCTATGCATTCCTTGAATCCTGCTTGTACAACTTTGTATCATCACTTAGGAACACAGTCAGACTCAGAACTTTTAAGAAATTGACTTGAGTGAATGAATTTTTCAGAATTTTTAAGAAATTGACTTGAGTGAATGAATGGATATATAAAAATAAGAGTGAGTTTGACTGAAAAAAGATAAGGAATTATTGTTATTTCAACAGCTTACCAGCACTAACGCTCATTATTCCAGTAGGCTAAGTTGCCTTGGAAAACTAATGTTTGAATCCTTCCTTCCTGTTAAGAGTTTTTAAAGTCAGTTTTATGGCATTTCTTGTAGACAGAGGCAGGGGTAACACAGGAAGAACAGAGGTACAAAAGGAAAATGAGTTTTTCTTTGATCACCACGAAAAGTCCCTTACATTTCAATCATGCTTGTATCTCTGCCAAGGGTCAAGGTGAATGTCTGTTATTATTGATGAATTATTTTAGGTCATTTATCAGTCACACATACTGGCTGGATTTCATAAACAGCAAAAGAAAAGTTTGAATTAGGTGAGGAAAATGACTAAGCAAATGTATATCCTCCTGTGAAGGTAAGAACCAACTCCGAGTTTGCAATGCATCAATTCCAAAATTGGAATGCTCCTTTTTCTGTTTTACTTAGAGACTTTCCCACTGCAGGCCCCAATTGAACTCTGGAAGACACAACAGTACAGAAGATCTGAGAATAGATGCCAAACACACTGAGCCTTCTAAACTCACACGAACAAGACCAAAAATAAAAATATGAAATAAAATAGAAAAAAAGAGGAAGTAACTAATACCCTTTATGTCACCAAGCTAGCAGGTCCATACTACATAAACTCAATGTATTTATTCAGCTTTCTAAAACTTACAATTTTTAAGATGTCACATGTCGAATCTGATACTGTAGTGGTAGAAGAGACCTAGACACTATGTAGTGTGGTGCTTATCAGATCATAATCTCTCAAGAATCTTTGGATTCTGATGTGATGCCTCAGGGACTAAACTTGGGAGAGCAAGGACCAGCTTCCCTACCATACTTCAATTCAAGCAGCAATCTTTTTATCTGTTTCATTTGTTTGTTTAGTAATGAAGTCCCATGCAAGATTTTATTTGGTGTTGATAAAATAATTCTTTATAAAAGTTAAAAATACTGTCATCTATTCTAAATTCCTTGATTTATAGATGAGGAATCCAAGGCTCAGAATGGCTGCATAATAACTCAAGTTGGTGTCCAATGAGTAGAATCTGCCCAGGTCTTCTAATGCTCATTACAATGGCAATGGTATACCTGGGCTTGAGTTTTAGAGCCCAAGTACCTGGATTCAAATTACCACTGTCACCTGACTTTGGGCAATTTATTTATCCTTTTTGGGCATCAGTCTTCATCTGAAAAATGGGGTTCATATTGGTACATACCTCATAGAGTTGTTTTAAGGAGTAAAGGGGTTAATATAAAGAAAGTGTCTAACACATAGTAAGCACTCAAAAATATCACCGGAACTGTAATATAACTATTATTCTATTTTACCAAACTGAAAAACTTCAGGGTTAGGCAGTGTGTTCGTTTCTATACAATGTTGTTGTATTGTTGCTACAGCAAATTACTACCAACTTAGTGGCTTAAAATAACACAAATTTATTATCTTAAAGTTACTGCAGTCAGAAGTCCAAAATGGGTCTCACTGGGCTAAAAGCTAGATGCCCGCTGAGCTGATTTCCTTCTGGAGGCTCTAGGGGAGAATCTCTTCCCTTGACTTTTCCAGCCCCCTTCATTCCTTGGCTGTGGCCCCTTTGCCCATCTTTAAAACCAGCAGTGTACCACTATTCAGAGTCTGACTCTGACTCTCACGCTCCTGCCTCCTCTCAATGCTTTCACTTACAAACACCCTTTGTGATTGCATTGGTCTCACCCAGATAATTCAGGATAATCTCCCCATGTCAAAATCCTTAACTTAATAAATCTGCAAAGACCCTGTTGCCATGTAAGGTAATATATTTATATAGATATATTTGGAGAATCATTATTCTGTCTATCATAAGTGGGTAATGTAAATATGCAAAACAGCTTTGTATAAGAAGAGGGAGTGGTGTATACTGCATAAACCTTACCTAAAGGCAATTGTGTGTGTGTATACACATACACACAGAATATATGTGTTTCATAGATATGTGTGTGTGTGTGTGTGTGTGTGTGTGTATACTGTTGCCTTATATATATATATCTCTGTATATAATACTAGGCTAGTCAAACTAATATATCCTAGACCTGATTTGACTGAGGAATCTGGTTTGGGATCCTTGCCCTATGTCATTCCATTATGTGGTTAGACCAGGTCTATATAATCTAAAGCAAAGAGGAAAGGTGGTGATTGCCTGAGTCTCTGCTATGTAAGCATCCTAGATAATTCCAGATATTTTTTCAGAGTGAAACAAAGTGATAAATATCCTCCCAAATTCATGCAGTCTGCTTCCTACTTGCTTTAAATACCTGGATGTGGGAAATGACCCAGTTTTTATCTACCTTTATTGACTATTTCAAATTAAACTCTTTAGCAGTCAATAACAACAGGAGTCACATCAACAGCTGCTTCATCCTACACTCTGATTTTATGTCTCTCTTTTAGCCATTACACCTGGTTGACTTGGAAATCCTCCAGGGACAACATCTGTTATCGCTGTCTCCCTTGAAATTCTGGCCCATGGTTGTTTAACTGCAAATGTGGAAGAAAATCCAAACTGTACTTGTTTCTGTTGTCTCATGGCTTTGTCACCATATGTCAAATCAAATTACACTTCACAGTTGACAGTTGAAAGAAATGAAGAAATAGTCAGTGCAAAGATACCTTTTTTGACCATTAGAGAACAAAAATATAAAACCTGTTGACTTATCTCCTTTACAAGAGGACCTCAAAAAGTTCATGAAAAAATTGAATTAAAAGATAAGAATTTTAAATACAAACTTTATTTCTCAACATAATCTCCAACAAGTTCAAGACACTTTTGTGAGCAATGATGTCACCCATTTAGTCTATGCCTAAAGGACTGAGAGTGTTCAGAATTTAAGCATGCCAATTCAGTCGTTTTTACGTTATTAATGGAAGAAAAAATGGGTGCCATTTAAAGGATTTTTTAGTATTAGGAAACAAAAAGGAGTCAGAAGGAGCAAAATCAGAACTGTAAGGTGGATGCCTAATGATTTCACATCAAAACTCTTGCAAAATTGCCCTTGTTTGTTGAAAGGAATCAGCAGGAACATTGTTGTGGTGGTGAAGGATGCTGTAATAAAGCTTTCCCAGGCATTTTTCTGCTATAGCTATGGCTTCCTCAAACACTCTTAAAATAAGTAAACGTTATTGTTCTTTAGCCCTTGATATGGTTTGGGCTGTGTCCCTACCCAAATATTATCTTGAACTGTAGTTCCCATAATCTCCATTTGTGTCATGGGAGAGACCCAGTGGGAGGTAATGGAATCATGGGGGTGGCTATCTCCATGCTGTTTTTGTGATAATGAGTGAGTTCTTACAAGATATGATGGTTTTATAAGGGTTTTCCCCCTCACTTCACTGTACTTCTCCTTGCTGCCACCATGTGATAAAGGACATGTTTGCTTCCCTTTCCACCATGATTATATGTTTCCTGAGGCTTCCCTAGCCCTGCGGAACTGTGAGTCAATTAAACCTGTTTCCTGTATAAATTACCCAGTCTTGGGTATGTTCTTATAGCAGTGTGAGAACAGACTAATACAGCCCTTTAAAAAGTCAACAAGCAAAATACTTTGAACATCCCCAAAAAACTGTTGCCATAACCATTGCTCTTAATTGGTCTGTTTGTGTTTGATTCGACCACGCCCACCTCTTGGAGGCCATTGCTTTGATTGTGCTTGGTATTTAGAATTGTACTGGTCAAGACATGTTTTATTTCTTGTTACAATTCTTTGAAGATATGCTTCAGTATCTTGATCCCACTTACTTAAAATTTCCATTGAAAGCTCTGTTCTTTTCTGAAGCTGATCTAGGCACAACAGTTTTGACATCCATTGAGTGAAAAGTTTGCTTAACTTTAATTTTTTAGCCAGACTGCGTAAGCTGAATCAATTGAAATACCTCTGATGTTGGCTATTGCTTATGCTATTAATTATCAGTCCTTTTCAATTAGGGCACAAACAAGATTAATTTTTTCTTTGCAAATCAATAGGGTTGGTCTGTCCCTGCAGGCTTCATCTTCGACATTGTCTCATCCCATCTTAAAATGAATTATCTATTTGTAAACCGTTGGTTTCTTTGGGGAATTGTTCCTATAAACTTTTTGTAAGCATCAATGATTTCCCCATTCTTCCACTCAAGCTTCACTATAAGTTTGATGTTTGTTTTGCTTCAATTTCAGCAGAATTCATGTTGCCCTGATAAGGGCTCTTTATGAACTGATATCTTATCCTTCATAATACCTCAAACTAGCTACTATTTACACATGTTATAACAAGTTAGTATGAGTTTATTTTGATGCAAAAATTTTGAAATCCATGCATAATTTTTTCATAGTATTCATTTTCTGTAAGCTTTTTGAAGACCCCTTATACTTGGTATGATTGTTATCATTGCCAATGTGGAAATCAGCTTTTTTAAATGGTTATCAGAAACCTCGTCTGAGCTCACAATTCAGTTCCTAAAATGTAGATTAGTCTCCATAAACAGAAGTGAGTGAGAAGCATGCAAGGCAAGGCAACCAAGTATCCTTGAGGTGCTGACACTGAAGGAAGGGTGAGGAAGAAATAACAAGCAGGGAGAAGAGAAATGAAAAACAGAAAATGAAGTTGTCATGTGTCCATATGTATGGTATGGTGGGTATTCATAGTGGTCAAAAGTCTTACATAAAAGAAGGAAAAGATTTGTCCTAGGCCATGTCTGCCTACTAAATATTAATAGGTAAAGACCTACTAACAGTTAAAGGTAAAAGAATCTGAAACCTGTGGAAGTCATTACCTTACTGACTGTGAGTTTATGAGCCATTGTTTATCCAGTAGATAAAAGGAAGCAACTTTTGCCACATGCCATATTTTTAGAAAAGAAGCAAACTCTTAAGTCTTACTCCACTGAATCAGTTCTTTTGTCACTAAAGATATATTGACATGGCCACCAAAAGCAGTGGAAAGATACTGGTATAAATGAGGGTGCAATGGTTGTTTTATTAACTCTCAGATAGCATATACATTTGCTATTGCTGTTATTACAAATTACCACAAACTTAGTGACTTAAAACAATATAAAAATCTATAGTTTCAGAGGTCAGAAGTCTGAAAGTAGTTTTAGGGAGCTAAAAATCAAAGTGTTGGCAATCCTGCATTCCATCTGGAGGCACTAGGGGAGATCTGTTTCCTTGTCTTTTCCATTTTTTATGGCCTACTAGCATTCCTTGGCTTGTGGCTCCTTCTTCTGTCTTCAAAGCATATCATTTCAACCTCTGCCTTGGTTGTCACCCTTCCTCTTTCTGACTTAGACCATCTTGACCCCAGGGGTCTAAGGACCCCTGAGATTACATTGGACCAACCTAGATAATCCAGGACAATCTCTTTATATCAAAAGCCTTCACATAATCACATCTGCAAAGTTCTTTGTGCCAGGTGAGGTGATATGTTAACAGGTACTAGGGATTAGGACATGAATATCTTTAGGGGGCTATTATTCTGCTATTATTTAGGGGGCTATTATTCATAGATCCACTTGTCAATAAAGACCTTATCTAGAATTTACAAACTCAAGTGCCCACAGAAGATAGACAAGTAATAGAAGTGAATGAGAAAAACCAAGGAGTGGTGGAAACTGAGGTAAATTAGAGAGTGAATAGCATTCTAAAGCATTCACAATTTTAATAACATATGTAGTTACCATGTGGACAAAAAAAAATTGTCTCTGGTTCATGCCTACCTATTTGCAACCTTTATTTTAAACCAAATATTTGCTCCGAATGAGCCTCTTCTGCCATTATAAAGTGAGACACTTTCTGTTAAAATGTCTACATGCACTCTGCAGCCAATTACACACTTACATATATAGAAAAGGTTAAAATACAAGAATGCAGTAAAAAATAACCAGAATGTGATTTAGAGGCATGTGTTAACTGAAAGACCCACCAAGAACTAATTGGAAGGAAAAGGCCAGGAAGGAAATTGACCATTACAGGAAATACAGGATAAATTTCTTTAAAGATGGTGATCCTGCTCCCAGCAGGCTCAGAAAGACTTCTCTGATTTAGAGGCAAATAAGAGCCAGCTAAGTAGTCTGCAAGGATTAATGACCCATACATTTTTGTAAACAGCAACTGTGACAGTCTAGCACAAGTTCCAAAGACACAGGCAAGGGGATTAGCAAAGTCATGTTTCTGATGGACTTTCTCTTGGGTTTCTGTTAATCCATGAGGTTTGATATGTGTTGTAAGAGAAAGGAGCTGAACATAACATTTTAAAGATCTATTGAGTATTTGGCCACAATAAGGACTAAATCATTACCATTTTAAAAGTCCCAGGTTAGCAGACATACTCTGAGGCCTGCATCACAATCAGAACATATATCAGATCTTATAAACATTTAGATCAAAGATTAAGATTATAAAGAAAAATTTCCAGGAAATTCAGTGTCCATGTCCACATACACAGTATTTTTTTTTTTTTTACGTGTAGTGGGGAGGAATGAAAAGATACATAGTCAATGAAGGAAGACAACTGTGGCAGCTCATGCACCAGGAGAGCTGAAGAATCAATTAAAATTCATGTGAGAAAGGTGACATATTATTTTATTCAAAACCAAAACAAACAAACATGAACTTTCGCTTATGCAAGAGAAAGCTCTACGCTTATATCTAGGAGAAAGGAGTTGAAACAAAGAAAGCTAAATTTATTTTCACACAAACAAAAGGTCTTTTTCTCTCTTTGTATGTCTCTCTCTCTCTCTCTGTCTTCTATTTTTCTTTTCTTTCTCTCTCCTGTTCCCTGTGTGTGTGTGTGTGTGTGTGTGTGTGTGTTTGTGTGGAGAGAGAGCAAGAAAGAAAGATAGAGACAACAAGAGAGAGACAGAATTAGAGAGAGATAGAGAAACTGTTTTATTGAATGATCTGTGCTCAGTAAAGGTGAAAATATAAATTAGCATTTTGTTGTTGTTCTATGCCACTGCCTTCCGATAAGTATTGTCAATCATTTTCTTGCCTCTGGATGAAATCTCAGAAGCATAAAATAGCATTATCCATCACTGTCATATATAAGTGAATGCTATCTTTTGATACAAAATGCCCAGTTTAGGCCAGACTAATATCGAAGCCTTATTCTCCTATATAAGTCAAACCTTCTTCCCGGTCATCTTGCATCTTGGGCCTGATTTAGACTTGGAGATATGCAGTAGAGATGAGGTGCTTAATCAGCTTCTGAGCTTTGCTCTTATTTCCCTTTCTTTCTACTCTCTAGGCTATCTCTGTTTTTTCCAGAAATAGAGAGGATGATGGGAGAAGAGAGATGAGGCAGAAAGTTTTTACTTAACTGGTATGGTTGTCCCTGACATTGGTGGCCACCAAAAGTGCTCTTCCTTCTCTCTTCCTCTCTCTTTCTCTGTCTGTCTCTTTATCCCTCCTTCTCTTTCTCTTTCACGAGGGCCCTCTCTGGGGTCTTCAGAAACCTTCATTACTATGGATCTCTCCCCTGCTATTCACTTGTCATGAAACACGTCACCTCTGCCATTTCTAGATGATTATTCATGATGTTTCCCTAAGTCCCAGCATCTAGTGGTCCATCTCACACATACTTCCTCTCATGGGATCACCAGGCCCTCTCAGGCTATCCTTTAGGGCAGACTCTTTCAAGATGGCCTAATTTCAGCTCCTACATTAGTTTACATCTGATCCATATCTAGAAGAGCAGGCCATTTTGAATTCAGCCCTGTACCTTTTCTTTCTTGCTACAAATGGTTCCCTTTAGGTTCTTTACTATATAAATTGTAGGTGTAAATCAGGTTCCTAAGTATCAGTGAGGACAGCCCAAGCTTACCAGTGAGTTTCTGGAAGCATCCCTCAGCACATGTGAAGTAAGAGTTAAAGACCTCTCTCCTCTGTTCTTTTATACTCTCCTGTGGTCACACACAATCTTAATATATTTTGTTTCAGATGATCTAGCAGCTATGATAGTCAGTGTTGAATTCCCTCCTGGAACTTCTAGATAGAGCGAAAAGCCATAGTTGATATCCTGTTACATAGATAGGTAGTTTGACAGATGATAGAGAAATAAAAAGATATAGAGACATAGATGTCCAGGTGTGGTGAGCTGTCTGAGAAATAATAAATTGGAGCCCAATAATTCAAGGAAGAGATGAGAAGGTAGAGTAGTAGATTCCAACAAGAAAACAACAGATTGGTACTAAGAAGAGAGCTGATTAATAATGGTGTGGAGGCAAGAAACTTAGAATAGTGATGACTGGTGTTTAATTTTTAGTTACTTTTGGATCTGGGCAGAAACGCCCTTCATTATCCCCCAAATCTTCAGGACAATCTGTCACCAATTCTATAACCACACTAGCATTGACTTAATGCAGTACTGCTTTGGATAATAAAAAAAAAGGCATTTTCATTTTTACATAGGAGAAGGAACAAGAAAGAGTTGGAGCAGGCAGTGCCCAATGAGGTAATGGTGAGAGGTTCTCAATGACTCATTGAAAGTAAGAAGTTACAGGCAGCTTTAAGTCAGTGTTAGCCCCTCTTCTTGAATACCTGCAAAAATATCAAGAGTCTTGGACTTCTGGTTATTTCAGTTGGAAGCCTGAATTAGTTCTCATAAATTTCAAACAAGGTGGTGCCTCCAGAAGGCTGGAGAACTTGGAGGTGTTCAGGATACATATGACTAATATAGTATCCCTTGTTTCTTAAGCCTTCTAATGTAAATCTGTGGTTAGAGTATCTGATCAAACTTCAAAATCTTCCATAGTTATTGAAAAATGGAAATAAGACAACACAGAAACATTCTAAAGATTTAAATCCCTAGAATAATCCAAGTACGAACTATACATTATTATCACAAGTCGCATATTTCATTAAAAGTGGGAGAGTTTTGAGGCTTTGATTGAGCAATTTTCTTTCCCTGCTGTTTGAGCCTCTGTGATTTTAGTGTTTTATTCCTTGACCCCTTCACTTCGTTGCTGCAAGTTTCCTTACCCAAAGCACATGCTCTCAATCTCATTTTTTCGATGAGGAAGGGATTATTACTAGACAAAAGCAGAGGGCAGGACAATAATTTGTTTTCCCAGTACTCCAGAAGTCTCTCACATAAGTCCTGCTTTAAGCTAACGGGCAGTGTGCAGAGCCAAGTTGAATCCTGTTATGATGCCAGAGCAGGCTGTGCTGGGCTGAGCTGCAGGCTTTGCTCCCTGTAGGCCAAGCTCTTATACCTTCTGTGGTGTTATTATATATATATATATATATATATATATATATATATATATATATATGTACACACACACACACATACATATATATACACACATATATACATATATATGTGTGTGTGTGTATATGTGTGTGTGTGTGTATATATATATATATACACACATATATATATATATAGGTTTTCATCCACAGTTCCTGAGTCATAGCTACCATAGCCCTTGTTACAGTCTTTTGTTATTAGGTTGGGTGTGTTAGGCCTCAGGGGCAGGACTCAGGAAACCGAATCTCTTTGACCTTCTCCTGTCCTCCTTTCACCTGCCCAAAGGCCGGACTCTAATATTGCTCCACCTTTCTCATTGTAGGTCATAAGGCCCTCATTTCAGAGAGGCTCTTGCCCCATACCCTGGGAGAAAGAATGCTGATGTCAAGAATTTTCCATAAAAACCCAAGAGGATTGGGTTCCGAGAGCTTCAGGATAGCTGAACATGTGCAGGTTCCTGGAGGGTGACATGCCCAGGGAGGGCATGGAAGCTCCATGTCCCTTCCCCCATTCCTCTTTCCCCATACCTCACCCTACACAGCTCTCCATCTGTATCATTTGTTTTGTTTTGTTTTTTGAGACACAGTCTCACCTTATCACCCAGGCTGGAGTGCAGTGGTGTGATCTTGGCTCACTACAACCTCTGCCTCCTGGGCACAAGCATTCTCGCCTCAGCCTCCCCAGTAGCTGGGATTACAGGCACCCACCACTGCACCCAGCTACTTTTTTGTATTTTTGGTAGAGATGGGGTTTCACCATGTTGGCCAGGTGAATCTATGATCTGCCTGCCTTGGCCTCCCGAAGTGCTGGGATTACAGACGTGAGTGACCGCACCCGGCCATCATCTGTATCATTTGTAATATCCTTTATAATAAATTGGAAA
The DNA here is from genome assembly GCF_000001405.40 of Homo sapiens. Taxonomy (NCBI): domain Eukaryota; kingdom Metazoa; phylum Chordata; class Mammalia; order Primates; family Hominidae; genus Homo; species Homo sapiens. Next base: position 90,437,121 of record NC_000010.11, read on the forward strand.
ACATAAGCATATGTTTCTCTGAGCTCTGTAAGCCACGCCAGAAAATTAATCAAACCCAAAGACAGGGGCATGGGAACCCCAACTTAGGCCAGTTGGTCAGAAGTTCCAGAGCCCTGGATGGACTTAAGACTGGTTGGGGAGGCAGTCTTGGGGATTGAGCCCTCAACCTATGGGATCTGACACTATCTCCAGGTAGATGTATCAGAATTGAATTGGAAGACACAGAGTTGGTGTCCACTGTAGAATTAATTGCTTGCTTTGTGGTAAAGAGAAACCCTCACACATCTGTTCACAGAGGTCTTCTCTGTGTTGATAGTTATTGTGGTAGTGGTGTGAAAGCAAAAGGAAATCACAGTTTGAGAGTTTTTTCCCAAACACCTTATGTTCCAGAGCCTTGCAGGTTGACTCATTAAAGTCATGCTCAGGCTCACCCAAGTCTGATTTGTAAACCAGAGAATTAATTTGCTAATTTACAGTGATTCAGATTCAGCTGCCATTTGTTTTGAGCACGTTACATGTCAAACACTGAGCTTGAGGCTTTCTCACCAATGATCTCATTTAAGCCTCTCAGCAGCAGTCAGTAGATGTCCCCAGAGGAAAGCCTATTCAGAAAAATGAATAAGGTTTATAAAGTTTCTTAGAAATACCAAGCCAAGGCAAAGAGAACTGGATGATCTGTGGAGATTATCTTGAAGTAGGAGGATGCTCTTGAATCTTTGCTCTCTACATATATCTGCTTACGGGTCAGTTCCTAGCAAGGAAACCCAGCCTCTTCCTCACTGTCTTTGCTGAACCCCCACTAATCAAAGTCTTCTCACATTTTTCAGTATTTCATGCTGCCATTTTGTGCCTTCCTATGGCATCTTATTCCCTCACTTACAACTAGACTGCTTCTCTAGAAGGAATCTAGACACAGCTTGCTTTTCTTACTACAGTAGAATGTCCTCCATCTCCTAAATAGATGCAAAACTCTTTCTTGAATCTGACTTATATCACTTTCTACAATAGGAGACCTGACTATTTGTTTCTGGGGAAAATACCTGGAGCTTTTCTGCACCTATGCTGACAACAAACTGTGTCCTTTCTGTAGCTCCAGGCATGGCATGAAGGTGTGGGAGGGAGCAGTGGCATAGAGAGATTCAAACTTTTATAGCTATAATCACATAAGAAAAAACTGGCTCATGTGTATAAGTTTGGTATTTTAATTTATTTATTTATTTAAGTGTTTATGCAGTGCCATGCATTGAGTATACAGAAATGAATAAGGCACATTGCTCTCAAAGAATTCATTGTCCGGTAGAGAATACAAACATGTAAGGAAATAATTTCAATACAGTGAGCTAACGGTTAATTGAAATATGGACATGGTGCCATCAGAGAATTGAGGTTGAGGAAATTGTGTCTACATGGTCAGGGAAAGTCTCACAGCTAAGATGACCTTTAAGAAGTTTTAAATTAAGGACAGAAGTTCACTGGACAGGAAAAAGGGGGGCGGTGGGAGGAGGCATGTGGAGGAATGTTAAGGAAAAGCATTCCAAGCAGAAGGGACAGAAGCATAAAACAGCATAGGAATTTTAAAAAGGTATGAGATATTGGCATGCCTATAGCAATTTATATGAGTGGAAATGAAGCTGAGAGTTAGGCAGGGTCTTATCAAAATTGACTCCTATTATTAAGATTAGAAATTTGAATTACATTCAGTAAACAGTAGGTATTGAACTTAAGCAATGTAATGTCATTTGTGTTTTTAAAAGATGACTTTTATAGTATTACAATTTGGAGAAGTTATTTTGCCTTGTAACTGATAACTAAAATTAATATATAAATGGTAATATTTGTTTTAAGGAGGTTTTTAATTTTATCCCAATGTGTTTAAAATGTTATTTTGATAATATTATAGTTATTTTGTAATATATTTTCTTCCCTTATTATAGTCTTCCCTGACATACCCACAACTTAATATATAGTATAAACCTCTGTTGTAGTGGGAAGAGGGCTGAACCTAGAAACAGAAAATGGTTCTGAGACCCTACCCTTCTTCTTTCTGGCTTTGTGTCCTTGGGCAAGTCACTTAACTTCTCTGAAACTCAAGTTCCTTATCAGTGAAAGGGGGATATTGATACTCAAATTCTGGTTTGTTTTGAGGATTAAATTAAAGAAAATGTGAGCTATCTCTTGGACCTAAAAGGACTTCATAAAAGTATAGAAATATATATGTACTCTCTATATACAATTTTATATATGTATAAGTTATATATTTTTATATAAATTATATATATATATTATTGTATAAAACATATATATTTATTTTTCTTTCCCCAGGGCTCTCCTTCAGGAATTTCGATTCTTGATATCCATGATGAAGTCAGATGATATTTAAGAAACCCTACTGATCCTGACCTGGCCAACTTAGATGTCTGCCTTTCTTTTCTGCATGAAACCATTAAGACTCAGAGAGTGATAATTAGTGATGAAGCTGTAACTAAAGTCTGGACTCCTAGAACAGTGTACTTTCATTAATTCAGAAATGGTCTAGAATGGCTTCATAAACAGCAAGCTGAAACCACATTCAAAATTACAACTTACATGAGTGGTATTAATATGTATGGAATAGATCTTGATGCCTTGATCCAAAGGTACTGACTTGCTATTTGAATAAAAGGGGAAATCTGATGGTTAGAGAGGGTAACATATATCCCAACTCCTTTTCCCCTTGATGGAAGAAGTTAGGTCTCTTCCTTACTACAAACTATGCTGTAAACTCTTAACTATTTCTGGTGCCATCAAGTGATTAAAGATTGATTTGCTTGAAGTGAAAGCATCCTAATTGAATAATAATCCAGTTAAGATAAACAATAAATAACCAATATTGTCTTTGTGGTGGAATTTTCACTAGCAAGACTCTAGATAATATGGCAAATACGTTTTTAAAATGCAGCTTTTCAAAAAAGTAAACAAAACCCCACTTTTGTGTTTTTAAATTAATTTTTAATTAATTTTGTGTTTTTAAATTAAGATTCAAAAACTAGATTGAATAGAGTAAGTGAATTTAAGTAAGATCATTCAGGTGGAAAAGGGGAAATTTCTTTGCTAGTCTATAATAAAAATTCAGAGTAAGAAGTTTGATTTTGGAGAAAACGGTGGGATAGATTCTCAAATCAATCTCCTGAGGAAGGAATAGCAAAAATACAAAGAGAATGTATCTTTAAAAAACTCCTTGGGAGAGGCTTCAGGATGGTTGACTAGATGCTTATTAGATCTGGTACTTGCCTCTTCCATGAAGAGAAACTAAAATAGCAAATACATAATCACACTTCAAATAGATCATCAAAGAGTGAACACTAGAATTTAATAAAAAAATGACAGGAAGCACTGAAGCAAGGAAGGAGAGAAAGGAAAGACAGCCTGTTTGGCTGTGATTGGTTAGGAGTCTGGAGAAGCTCCCTAATGAAGATGAAGGGCAAGTGAGGGGCCCCCAGAACTCCAAATTCCCACCACAGGCTCTTATAATCCAAGTTACAGTAGAGCCCCTGAACCTTTATGGACCCTGGGACTAACATAAAGAGCTAGAGAGCACGTGAAGGCACTGCTCCAGAGAGAGAGCTCACACGGGGTCCCACACACCCCAACTCCTAAGCAGCTGTGCTCCAGTGCCATTTTGAGAGCCAAGTCCCCACCAGACTGCATCCTGCCTGGAGGCCCAATAGCGGCTGCATCTTTGCATTTCTGGAGCTCCATTGATATCCTTGTCTGCTGCAACTGGGGCCTATGCAAGAGCCACTGGCAGTAGTCCTGCCCTCCTAGCAGAGGGCAGTCATGCATTTTCATGCACCCTGAGGACAAATTCTGCTGCCCACAATCACCACTGCTGTGTGCTGCTTTGGGGCTAAAGCTCAAGCAAAGTGCATGCCCCGCACCGCCCCCCCCACAAAGGCACCTGCCTATGGTTGCTCCCCAGTGTCAGGGCTGCAGTGCAGCCACTGCTGCCTCCAACTGGGCACTCCAACAGGGGCCTGGGGATCACCCAATCTCTGCCTACAACAGCCAGTGCCTGTTTGCATCACTGGGATGCCTGAGAACAGATCCACCTGGCCAAGCTCCACTCCCCACTCAGTACCCAGATATACCATCCAGGGTCTTGAGAATTGCCCAGTCCAGCTTACCACCTTTGGTACCTGAACACTTCTCCCAAGGTCTGTGGTCAAGTCCACTGAACCTGCCACTACCACCACAGCTGGCACCCAATGCATGCATCAGCAAGGAGTCTGGAGATTGGCCCACCAAGCTGATTGCAGCCATCAACATCATCAGCATGGATCAGTTGAGTCCCAAAGAGTTGTCTCACCATTGCTACAGCCATCAACCATGCAATGCCTAATGCCTATTGCCTACTGCCTAGGGGCTCAAGAACCTGTCCACCTACCCAGTCCACTGACAATCCCTGGAACCTGAGAAAACTGCCTAGAAGTTCAAGAACTGTCTTTCCTGAACCAACTAACATCAGTGCCAGCATGCACCACCCTGGAGTTTAAGGACAGACACATTCAGCTTACTGCTGCCACAACTAGTACCTGAAGACTGCCCCATCTGGTATTCCAGTCCCGAGTAAAACTTTACCACAACCTCTACTAACAACTGCACCCTAAGCCACTGAGAAAATCACAAACACTATTGATGCTGTTACAACTAAAGAAATCATACAGAGACTACATACTGCACACACCCAGAATCAAATCAAAAGTGACCTACCCAGCCATTACCATAAATACATCATCAGGAAAAATTTGTCTCACATAAAAGCAAATTCAAAAATTGGAAGAAGCAACAATTACATCATGTGCATAGATATCGACATACAGACACAAGAAACATGAAAAAATAAGAATATATTACACACTCAAAGAAACACAATAATTCTCCAGCAGCAGGTTGCAATCAAAAACAAATTTACAAAACCCCAGAAAAACAATTCAAAATATTGATACTAAAGAAGCTCAATGAAATACAAGAGAATACTGAAAAACAATACAAATAAATCAGAAAAACAATTCAGGATATGAATAAGAAATTCCAAAGAGATAGATATCATTAAAAAAGAACCAAATAGAAATTCTGAAGCTAAATAATTTATTAAAAGAAATACAAAATACATTCAAAAGCTTCAACAATAAACTAGATCAAGCAGAAGAAAGAATCCCAGAACTTAAGTCCTTTTCAAACAACCCAGTCAGACAAACTGAAAAAAAAAAAGTTAAAAAGATTGATTAAACCCTTTATGTCATATGGAACACCATAAATTGACCAAATATTTAAAATTTTTATATTCTTGAGGGCAAAGAGGAAATAAAATCTTTCCCAGACAAGCAAAAGGTGAGAGAATTCATTACAGCTAGACCAGTCCTACAAGAAATATTTAAGGGAATTCTATTCCTGGAAGAAAAAAAAAAGCTATTATGTTTCCTGATATTTTCATATTATATTATCATGAAAACACACACAAAAATAAAAACCACCAGTAGCACAAACACACAAACAAGGAAGAGAAAGAAGCTCAAATTTTATCCTTATAGAATACTACCAAACCACAATAATAAACAATGAGAGAGAAAGAAAGATACAAAAGATATATAAAACAACCAGAAATCAATTAATTGAATGACAAGACTAAGCCTTCACATATCAATAAACTTGAATGCAAACAGATTGAACTTTTCACTTAAAAGATATAAACTGAATGGATTTTTCAAAATGATCTAACTATATGCTGCCTACAAGGAATTCGTCTCACCTGTAAAGGCACATATAGACAAAAGTAAAGAGATGGAAAAAGATATTCCACAGAAACAGAAACTAAAAGCAGGCAGGGGTAGCTATACTTTTATAAGATAAAACAGACTTTCAATCGAGAACAATAAAAAGAGAAAAAGAAGGGCATTATATAATGATAAAAAGATTAGTTCAGCAAAAGGATACAATAATTCTAAACATATCTGCACTCAACAATGGAGCACCCAAATATATAAGGCAAATATGATTACATTTGAAGAAAGAGAATACAATAATAGGGACTTCAACACCCCACTCTCAGCGTTAAACAGAATATATAGATAAAAAATTAACAAAGAAATGTTGGATTTAAACTACCCATTAGACCAAATGGGCCTAACAGAAAATTAGAGAACATGTCATCCAACAGCTACAGAATACAGAGCTAGAAAAGCAAGAACAGACCAAACCCCAAATTAGTAGAAGGAAAGAAATAATAAAGAGCAGAGCAGAAATAAAATAGAGACCAAGAAGACAATTCAAGGGATCAGTGAAAATAAAACTTGGTCCTTTTGAACTTATAAACAAAACTGATGAGTCACTTGCTAGACTAACAAAGAAAAATGAGAAAGGACCCAAATAAGTAACATGAGAAATGAAAAAAGAGACATTACAACCGATACCACAGACATACAAAAGCTCATCCAAGGCTATTATGAACAACTATACACTAACAAAGTAGAAAACTTAGAAAAAATGAATAAATTCCTGGACACATACAACCTACCAAGATTGAATCAGGAAGAAATAGAAATCCTGAACAGACCAATAACGAGTAGCAAGATTGAATACGTGATAAATACTGTCACAACAAAGAAAAGCCCAGGACCAGATGGCTTCACTGCTGAATTCTACCAAACTTTCAAAGAAGAATGAACAGCAATTCTTCTCAAAATATTCAAAACAGTCGAAGAGAAGAAATTCTTTCTAATTTGTTCTATAAAGCCGGCATTTCTCTGATAACAAAATCCAACAAGGATGCAATTTTAAAAAAGAAAACTACAGGACAACATCCCTGATAAACAGATGAAAAGCCTCAACAAAATACTAGCAAAAAATCCAACAGAACTTCAAAAAATAATGCACCATGATTAAGTGGGATTTATTCCAGGGATGCAAAGATGGTTCAATACATGCAAATTAGTAAACAAGATACATCACATCAACAAAATGAAAGACTAAAATCATATAATTATCTCAATAGATGCAAAAAAATCATTTAATAAAATTTAACATTCCTTCAAAAAACTAGGCATAGAAGAAACATATCTTAATATAATAAAGGCCATAAATGACAAACCCACAGCTAACATCATATTGAATGGGAAAATTCTGAAACCTTTTCCGCTTAGAACTGGAATAGACAAAGATACCTACTTTCACCACTCCTATTCAACATAGTACTGGAAGTCCTAGCAAGAGCAATAAGGCAAGAGAAAGAAATAAAAGGCATCTAAATTGGAAAGGAGAACCTAAGTATTTAATACATTTTGGATATTTGTACCTGCCCAAATTTCATATTGAAATGTAATCCCCAGTGTTGAAGGTGGGGCCTGGTGGGAGGTGTCTGGATATGAGGTTGGAACCTTCATGAATGGTCTGCTGATAAGTGAGCTCTCACTCTGAGTTCACACAAGATATTTTCATTTAAGAGTGTGTCACCTCCCCCTGCCCATTCTCTCTTGTTTCCTACTGCTTTTGCTATTCAATGTGCCTATTCCTCCTTCACCTTCTGGCATGATTGAAAGCTCCCTGGGCCTTCACCAGAAGCTGAGTAGATGCCAGCACCATACTGCCTCTCAAGTCCACAGAACTCTGAGCCAATTAAACATCTTTACAAATTACCCAGTCTCAGATTTTTCTTTATAGCAATGCAAGAACAGCCTAATACAGTGTCCATCATCAAATGAATAAAGAAAATGTAGAATATATATATGTGTATGTGTGTATACATATATCATATATATGGTCAAACTGGACTACTATTAGGTCATAAAAACAAATGAACTTAAATCATTTTTGGCATCGTGGACAGAACTCAAGGTCATTATGTTAAGTGAAATAAGCTAGATAGACAAATTTCCCATGTTTTCAGTCACATGTGGGAGCTAAAAAGTTGACCTCATAAAGGTAGAGAGTACAATAATAGATACTAGAGGCTGCAAAGGGTCTGTAAGTTGGGGGGATGATGAAGGGAGACTGGTCAATGAATACAAGCATACAGTTAGACAGAAGGAATAAATTCTAGTGTTCATAACAGAGTAGAGGTATTATAGTTATCAACAATGTATTATATATTTCAAAGTAGCTAAAAGAGAGAACTTGAAATGCTCTCAATCCATAGAAAAGATAAATACTCAAGGTGATCAATACCCCAAATACCCTTGCTTGATCATTACACATTCTATGCATGTAACAAATCTTAACTCTAAGTGGAGCTCTGAAACTGCTTTTGTTTTATGGCATTTACCAAACCTTTTATTTTAAGTTCAGGGGTATCATGTGCAAGTCTGTTATATAGGTAAACTCGTGTCGTGAGGGTTTGTGCAGATTATTTCATCACTCAGGTGTTAAGCCTAGAGCCCTTTAGGTTTTTTCCTGATCTTCTTCCTCCTCTCACCCTCCACTCTCAGTTAAGATTTCATGTTTATCCTTAGAATTTAAACTGGTAATATCTTACTGTCTTTTCAATTCTTGTGTGCTCTTGAACAATTTTTATTTTTTAAATTTATTTTATTTTTATTCTTTTTATGGAAAATTTTTATTGATACATCATATTTTATATATTATACATTATGGGTACAAGTGATATTTTCTTACGTGCAAATTTCTGACTTTTTGGTTTGATCTTCTAAAATTGAAAAACTGAAATCCTGAATGAAAGGAAACTGAGACTTTATTTTGTTAACTTTCATTTTAAGTTCAGGGGTACCATGTGCAGTTTTGTACGTAGACTTGTGTCATGAGAACTTGTACAGATTATTTCATCACTCAGGTGTTTATCCTGGCACCCATTAATTATTTTTCCTGATCCTCTCCCTCCTCCCACCCCCCACCCACAAGTAGGCCCCAGTGTCTCCTGTTCCCCTCTATGTGTCCATGTGTTCTCATCATTTAGCTCCCACTTATAAGTGAGAACATGTAGTATTTGTTTTCTATTCCTGCATTAGTTTGCTAAGGATAATGGCCTCTAGCTCCATCCATGTTTCTGCAAAGGGCATGATCTTGTTCATTTTATGGCTGCATAGTATTCCATGGTGTATATGGACCATATTTTCTTTATTGAATCTACCATTAATGGGCATTTAGGTTGATTCCAGGTCTTTGCTACTGTAAATAGTGCTGCAGTAAACATATGCATGCATGTGTCTTTATGAAAGAACAATTTATATTCCTTTAGGTATATACCCAATTATGGTATTGCTGGGCTGAATTGTATTTCTGTTTTTAGCTCTTTTAGGAATAGCCACACTGCTTTCCACAATGGTTGAACTAATTGACATTCCCACCAAAAGTGTTTAAGCATTTCTTCTTCTCTGAAACCTCACCAGCATCTGTTATTTTTTCACTTTTCTATAATAGCCATTCTGACTGGTGTGAGATGGTATCTTGTTGTAGTTTTGATTTGCATTTCTGTAATAATTAGTGATACTGCATATTTTTTCATTTGCTTGTTGGCTGTGTGTATGTCTTCTTTTGAAAAGTGTCTGTTCATGTCCTTTGCCCACTTTTTAGTGGGGCTGTCTTTTTTCTGGTAAATTTAAGTTCCTTATAGATGCTGGATATTAGACCATTGTCAGATACATATTTTGCAAGAATTTTCTTTCATTCTGTAGGTCATCTATTTACTCTGTTGACAGTTTCTTTTGCAATGCAGAAGCTCTTTAATTTCATTAGATCCCATTTGTCAACTTTTACTTTTGTTGCAATTGCTTTTGGTGTTCTGTCATGAAATCTTTGCCCATTCCTATGTCCAGAATGGTAATTGCCTACGTTGGGAATGACAGAATCTTAATAACAAATGGAAGATGTTAAAAAGCCATAGATAAAAGAAAGATTACTTTCAAAGAGGCAGTAGTTAGACTGTGAGGTAACTTCTCAACAGCAATAATAGAAGTCAGAAGACAGTCAGTCCAATGATACATTAAGTTGGCTGGAAGGAAATAGACAACAACCTAAAATTCCAAACCCAGGAGAAAATATATTTCAAGACTGACAACAAAATGAACATTTTTTCAGGCAAACAAAACAAGAACTCCCCCCTCACCAAAAGGAAACATACAATATGCACATCAAGTAGAAGGAAAGCGATCCGGGATGGAAGATCTAACATGCAAGGAGGAATGAGGAACAAATATCAGGTGGTAATTATGCAAACTTGTCATTACCCTTGTTCTCTGTTTTTCATTGTGGCTGTTAAGAAATTTCTATTCCTTTGAAGTCAACTGTCCTTATTCTCTGGATAATTTTAAGACTTCTCTTTGCCATTGTTGTTCTGCAGTTTAGTTATAATACTCTTGAGTGTTGATTTCTATTTATTTATTTTATTTGCTACACATCTGGCTTCTTGAATTTGTAGATTAATGTGTTTCAACAGTTTTGGAAAAGTTTCTGCAATTATCTTCTTAAAAATGTCCTCTGAAAATATTGTCAACACATTATTGTGTGATGCATGATCAGAAAAAGTACATGTATGCAGAATATATTAAGAACTATTAAGTATGTAATACAACAATCCAATAAAAAATGAACACATGATTTGAGTAGACACTTCACAAATGAAGATATATGAATACTCAATGTGTATATGAAAAGTCATCATTAGTCATCAGGAAAATTAAAATTAAAACACAATTAAATACAACTACACACTCATCAAAATGACTAAAATTAAGAAACTAACCACATACAGTACTAGTGAGTATACAGAGTAACTAGAACCCTCATACTCAGTTGGAAAGAATATAAAATATTAGGAACACATCGGAAAACAGCTTGGCAGTTTTTTTTAATTAAATAAAACCTTCCATATGGTACAGACACTCCACTTCTTGGCATTTACCCAAAATAAATGAAAGCATATGTCCATAAATACTTGTGCGGATATTCTTAGAAGCTTTATTTGTAACAGTGAAAAACTGGAAACAATCCAAATGTCTGTCCATAGGTGAATAAAGAAACAAATTGGGGCATATCAATGCAACAGGATATTACTCAGTAATAAAAATGATGAACTACTTATCCAAACAGCGATATTGATGAATCTCAGAATCATGACACAGAATGAAATAAGCCAGATTGAAAAAAAAAAAAAACCTACATACTGTATGATTCCATTTTTATAAAGTTGTAGAAAAAACAAATGAATCAATAGTGACAGAAATCAGATAAGTGGTTGATTGCAAATAGAGGAAGAGGGAGGACTAGATTACAAGAGGCATGAGAAAACTTTTGGGGTTTTGGCAATGTTTGATATCTTGATTGTAGTGATAGCTTTATGGGTATGTACATGTGTCAAAATTCGTTATTGTATGTCAATTATACTCAAAGACCTTTTTAATAGCAAAAAACAGAACCAGTCGCAGAAGATAAATAAAGTTGGGGAAAGGTAAATTATGGAATTATTTGGTTTTACTAAATTACCCATCCTCAGAAAGTTAAATGATCAATGAAAACCTTTCAGGCATTTTGGAAGCAATTATTTTCTGAGAGTTTGACACAGTCCAGATATTCTGCATACCAGACAAGAGATTTCTCATGAACAATCATTTTTCAAAACACTAGGATGTCTTAAGATTCTATTACTTATATTCAATCTATTGACATAAAATTAGAATATCTCTTCTACCTCATTTTGCATAAAATTGCCAGTCCTTTTTTTGAAGCAAAGAAAATTATTGAAGCAAAGAAAATTGTCCATTATCCTAGATATCCACCATCAATTATTTTTTAAATTTAGTTGTCTTTAAATACCGATTTATAAAAATAAATGTGATGTTTGTCAATTCAGTAGATCAATAAATTGGAAGGCTGATTATATATTCAAGCACAGTTAACATATTATTTGTTTTCTCTTTTTAATAGGAAGAATGTTTTAATTCAAAAAAAGCATCATGTGAAATAGGTGTAGTGCTTCTTTTGAGCTGGTACATTTTGGTAAGCTATAATTTGGTAATTATAATTCAATGTCTTAAACATTAAATTCAATTGTTACAATTTATTAAATAATGTTCATTTTCATATAACCAATATTTTAAAATAGGTTTAGCTTTTGTTTACATGTGTGATATTGTAATACAGCAATGATATGGTACACTGTAAATGTTAAAAATAAATCATATTGCGATGTTGTCAGATATATATGCACAGATTACATAGTTCATGTCTCTTTATAATGGCAGAAAAATTATAAATAACCACACTATAAATTTGAATGCAAAAAGGAAATTCCAATGACTTTTTCTCTCTATTATTGCCTTTTGGAAATTCAATTAAATGTGTTAGAATTTCTTACTTTGTCATCCATGCTTTGTAAACTCGTCTCCATACTTTAATCTTTTTGTCTGTGTTGCATTTCCAGTAATTTCCCCTCATCTATCTTCAAGTTTACACATTTTATTTCAGGTTGTGCCTAAGTTACTGTTAAGTCTACTCTTTGAGTTTTTAATTCTGTTTAATGTAATTTTAATTTATAGAATATCTAGTTGGTTGTTTGAAATCAATTTGGTTACTTTTTATTTTTTCCTTTTCCCTCTAGATGTTTTCAAGACGTTCTTTTATTTGTTTAGAAATATAAGTGTTTTGTAATAGATGTTTAGTAATTTTAATATTGGAATTTGGCCTTGCCTGAAAAATCTAGACAAGGGCAGGTCTCAATTTTTCTCCCTCCCCTGCTCAATTGCAAGGCAAGCCTTTTAGGACTCAGAGTTGGGTGAAAGTCAGCCTTACATCCAGGTCACTCTTGTTCTGTGTATATTGAGCTATTTGGGGATCCCAGCTTAATGCAGGGAGAGTGTTCTATTAGACTTCATATCTGGGTTCTAGAATTTTATTTTTGTTTCCTTAACCTCTTGTGGCTGTTTACATCAAAATTCAGGTTGGCAAATTACCTCCAGGCAAGAGCAATTCTGATGGTCAGTTTACTTTTCTGGGTTTTCACTCTTCCTTCAGTTTTTAACCAGATAATTCTTTGCTATTTTACCAGCTTTTTGATAATTTTAACAATATATATTTTTAAATGTCTTCAGCAACTTATCTTTTCGGTGTAAAAAAAAATTATTTTTGGTATGGTGGTGGGGAGGAAATGGCAGGCTAAGCTAAACACCTGGCCTGTCACTAGAGGAAATTGAACCTTGCAATTTGTTTGAACAATTTTTAAATGTAACAGACACACACACACACACACACACAAACAATTTATATTGATTGGCTTATTTTGGGTATTGATGGAGTCACTTGTGTGATTTATCTGATACATCAATGAAGACAGTTATAAATAGAAGAATAACAATTTTCAATCAGTTATTTGTTGTCAAACATGGAACATTTGACCATTTACAATCTGAGAGTAAAACTGCACAAGAGAAACATCCAAGGAAATTAATTCTCTTTTTAAGGTCATCTATAAATCCAGTCCCCATAGCAACACAAGTACTTATCTAGATTCCTTCCTTTACACTATATATTTTGCCTAGTCATTTCTTTTGCAATTAAATTAATTGCTTCATTGTTAATCCAACTTTCACTCTCTGTCCTTTCAAAACATTTTAAAAACAAGCTGATGAATGGAAAAGTAAAACATTGTTGCAGAGCTAGTTATTTATAAGCAAATAAAATCAATTGTGTCTGAAATGTCAATAATGTATAAATAAGCATGTTTCTAAATTTAATTGTTAACTTTTATAAGATGAATGGTAGCAACAACAATGTGATCTGTTATTTATTCTTCCTGAGTCAAACTAAATATTTTACATAAATCAGCCCCTTCTGGATAATATTTACATTATACTACAAATATTGACAATGACTAGAATTTAATATTTTAAAAATACTCATCCAAACATACAAATGCAGGGATGGGTGGTTATAACTGGATCAGTAGTTGTGTCACTCCAAATCACAAATCTCTTGTTTTCCCTCTTGCTAATCTCTACTATCCTCCCTCTTTAACCCATGGCTATGAAAAATAACAAAAGGAGTAGTTCAAATCTTCAGATAGTTCTTTCTGGTTTCCTTGTAGCTATATATTTTAATTTGCCTCAGACTTCTCCAAATCAGTCTAAGGAAACACAAAGTGATATAAGTACTACATAGATTAGATTTAGATATAGAGGTATAATCTTTTCCCCCTACAGAACTCCAAACATGCTATTCTCCATTTAGGAATGTAAAGCAACCCACAATCGTCTGAAGAAAGATACAGAACTCAAGAATTCATATAGTCAAAAGCTGGACAGATCTGGATTCAAATCTGATTAACTGTGAGACCTTGGGCAGCTGTTGAAATTCTGCATATCAGTCAGAGGTTGGTTAGAAAAACAGAATATGCTTGAGATTTCAAACTGAAAGGGATGTAATACAGAGATTGGAAAGTTACCAAACCTTTGGGATGAGTGATAAAGCAAGGATCAGGGAAGTCATTGCTAGTGTTCAAAAAATCAGTATGAATAAGAATCACAGGAAACTGCCACTTCAGAATATAATGACACAAGGAAGTCATTCATCAAATCTTACCTCAGTTATCTCTGCAGTCCACGTGTTCATGCCACTGACTCGGGAATAATAGTGGCTTCTCCTCTTGCAAGCAAGCTTGTTGGCAGAATATATAAAGTGGCAACTTTCTGGTAGAAATAAATTCTAAGGATATAATACCCTGGGTTTTCACCCTCTAAAATACAAGAAAAGAGAAATGGGAGGAATGTTGTTAGATTTCCAACAAAAAATCTAGCATATTCTAGATAACCCAGTGTCTTCAAATAAAAAAATACTGTCAAGACTAAATCAAGATTGTGGACTGAGCATTTGCTCCAATATTCCTTCTGCATCAAATCCCTTAAAGTGAGAGAAAAGGTATATATGCAAACATGCATACATATCTATTCAGATATAGATGATATAGATAAATATATAGATGATATAGATACTGATAAAGCATAACAGGACAGGAACACAGAAATTATGAAGTCTTTAAAAGATAAAAAGCTGACAAAATCAAATTGATAACAACTATGACAAAGTCATATCAAACAAGTTCAAGACCATATCACTGCAAAGACTGAAAACAGATTCTAAATTGGATTGAAGTGAAAAAGCAGAAAAGTGGCCCAGAAAATCATTAGGGTAAATTAATTAAAGAACTGAAGTCAAAAAAATGAGACCAGACCTCATCACCCTTGTGATATACAATAGACAGCAAGTTTTTGATGGGTTTTTATCCATCTGTATTTGCAATGCTATATTATTTTTTTCATTATCACTTTTTAAATACTTTTTGTATAATTTAATAAATTTTGATATTATATTTTGCATTATCTGAGTTTCTTGTTTCAGCATCAGTTAATAGAATTTTTTAAATGTGATTTAAAAATGTGTGGCATTGCTTTTGATAGTGATTACATAGTTAAACAAAAACATCTTTTACCTGTCATAAAGCTTTAGTTAAAAGCTACTGGGGGGCAGCGTTTCACAATTCAAGCAAAAGGGATGTGTATGTGTATGTGTATATACATATATAGAAATATTTTTATATATTATAAATTATATATAAACATGTATATATTCTGATACATTTATGTACAATTTTAAAATAATTCAAATTATAGTCCAAAAATAAAGTCAGAATAAGCTTTTTTTTCTTCTTTTTTTGAGACAGAGTCTCGCTCTGTCACCCAGGCTGGAGGGCAGTTGAGTGATCTTGGCTCACTGCTACCTCCACCTCCCAGGTTCAAGCAATTCTTCTGCCTCAGCCTCCCAAGTACCTGGGATAACAAGTGCCCACCACCACATCTGGCTAATTGTTCTATTTTTAGTAGAAATGGGGTTTCGCCATGTTGGCCAGGCTGGTCTTGAACACCTAACCTCAAGTGGTCCACCCACCTTGGCCTCCCAAAGTGCTGAGATTACACACTTGAGCCACTGCACCTGGCTAGAATAAGCTCTTAAAGAAAATTAAAGATTATATAAGAATGACACATATACACTTTAGTTTGATTAGCTCTTAATACTATTTCAAGACTATCTACTGTGATGCTGGTGTACAATTTTCTTGAATTTAGATACAAAGGGGAGACATAAAAAGGGGCACAGCCCTAAAGGCATTAGCAAAAGATACAAGGGCTCTGCTTCCTGGAATTGTGTTGTATAAAGTCAGAACCTCCTGGAAGCAGGTGCCAAGACAGGATTAATGATGAAATGGTGTTTATTAGGAGAAATGCTTGTGAGAAAAAAATGGAAAGGAGCCAGGAAGGGCTGGAAAGGGCATCAAACCACGATGCAAGCTTGGCTTTAAGTGAAGGAGAGAGAGGGAAGGAAGTCGGGTAGAAGTGTCCTAAATTATCATGCATCTAAGAAACGTTTGTCAAAGCCATTGGGGAATACTCAGCTAAAATTCAGCCGAGAGGAGGCTTGTGAACCCTCAGGAATGGAACTATATTAGTATTGCTGCCTGGCTCAGTGGTTGGCTGAGACGCACATATGGGAAGCAAGGGCAAATGCATGATGGACTCAGATGCAGAAGTTGATCTCTAGTCGCTTAGGTTCCCCGAATTTGGAGGTTCGCCTTATGCATTCTCATGTCCATCACATAAAGAAAGGGACAGTCTGCAACAGCAGGATTGCTTTCTAAAGAACGTTTTCTTTGGGGAGTACTCTGAAACCTTTCTTCAAATGATGACGTACTCTGAAGTTCAGGAGATAATTCTGAAGTAGACTTTGATTTTATGCGGGAGAATGTACTCTATTCCCATCATCACAGCTTGTCCCTTGGCTTACATAAATATTTTGCTCACGATTCAAGGAAGTTGTCTAAAGCAACTTAAATGCTAGGCCAAAATAACCTGTTTGTCTCTCATTAAAAAGTTTTTGTTTTAGAAGTTTTATGGGTTGAATTGTATCTCATAAAATGATATATTACAGTCCTAATACTCAGTACCTCCAAATGTGATATTATTTGTAAACAAAGTCTTTATGGAGGTTATCAAGTTAACATGAAGTCATTAGAGTGAGGACTAATCCAATATGGCTGAGATCCTTATCAAAAGGAGAAATTCAGTCACAGGGACAGACAGGTACAGAGAGAAGATGATGTCAAGAGACAACGGGAGAATGCCACATGAAGGTGGAGGATTGGAGTAATGCATCTACAAGCCAAGGTATGCCAATGATTGCTGGAAAACTACCACAAGCTAGGAGAGAGGTGTTTCACAGTGGGAAGGCCTATGCAAACCTATACCAAAGACCGAGAAAGCTGAGAGGCTGAAGAGAAAGGCTGACACAGCTACTTTCTCAGAAAGAAACATTTATTCATTTGTTATATATATACATATATATTGTTTTAAATATTTTCTTATTTTAAACTTTTAGGCTCAGGGCTACATGTGCAGGTTTATTATATAGGCAAATTACATGTCATGTCATGGGGGTTTGGTGTGCATGCTATTTCATCACACAGGTCATAAGCATAGGTAGTTTTTAGATCCTCACTCTCCTCCCACTCTCCACCCTCAAGTAGGCCCTGGCATCTGTTGTTCCCTTCTTTGTGTTCATGTGCATTCAATGTTTAGCTGCCACTTATAGGTGAGAACATGTAGTATTTGGTTTTCTCTTTCGTTTAGCTCATTTAGGATAGTGGCCTCCAGCTCTATCCACGTTCTGACAAAGGTATGATCTTGCTCTTTTATATGGCTGCATATATTCCATGGTGTATATGTAACACATTTTCTTTATCCAGTCTATCATTGAAGGACATTTAGGTTGATTCCATGTCTTTGCTACTGTGAATAGTACTGTGATGAACATGCATGTGCATGTGTCTTTATGGTACAATAATTTATATTCCTTTGGTTATATACCCAGTAATGGGATTGCTAGGTCAAACGGTAGTTCTGTTTTTAGCTCTTTGAGAAATTGCCACACTGCTACATTCCCACCAGCAGTGTATAAGCATTCCCTTTTCTCTGCAACCTCACCAATAAGTGTTATTTTTTGACTCTTTAGTAATAACCATTCTGACTGATGTGAGATGGATCTTATTATGGTTTTGATGTGCATTTCTCTAATGATTAGAGATGGTGAGCATTTTTTCATATGCTTGTTGGCTTTGCGTATGTCTTCTTTTGAAAAGTGTCTGTTCATGTCCTTTGTCCATTTTTTAATGGGATTGTTTGGTTTTTGCTTGTTAATCTGTTGAAGTTTCAGATGTTAGACCTTTGTCAGATGCATAATTAGCAAATATTTTTCCCATTCTGTAGGTTGTCTATTTACTCTGTTGATAGTTTCTTTTGCTATGCAGAAGCTCTTTAGTTTAATTAGATCACATTTGTCAATTTTGGGGTTTGATGCAAATGATTTTGGCAACTTTATCATGAAATCTTTGCCAGGGCCTATGTCCAGAATGATGTTTCCTAGGTTATCTTCCAGGGTTTTATAATTTTAGGTTTTACATATAAGTTTTTACTCCATCTTGAGTTGATTTTTGTATACTGTTTAAGGAAAGGGTCCAATTTCAATCTTCTGCATATGGCTAGCCAGTTCTCCCAGCTCCATTTATATACTAGGGAGTCCTTTCTCCATTGCTTATAATTGTTGGCTTCATTGAAGATTAGATAGTTGTAGCCATACGGCCTACATGATCCATTTTTGTTCCATGATCTATGTGTCTGTTTTTGTACCAGTACCATACTGTTATGGTTACTGTAACCTTGAAGTATAGTTTGAAGTGAGGTAATGTGATACCTCATGTTTTGTGATTTGGGTTCTTTTTTGGTGCCATGTAAATTTTAAAATAGTTTTTTCCTAATTCTGCGAAGAACGTCGTTGGTAGTTTGATAGGAATAGCATTGAATCTGTAATTTGCTTTGGTCAGTATGGCCATTTTAACAATATTGATTCTTCTTATCCATGACCATGAAATACTTTTCCATTTGTTTGTGTCATCTCTGATTTCTTGCAGCAGTATTCTGTAATTCTTATTGTAGAGATCTTTTACCTTACTGGTTAGCTATTCCTAGGTATTTTTATTCTTTTTGTGGTTATTGTGAGCCAGAGTGCATTCTGGATTTGGCTCTCAGCTTGGATATTGTTGGTGTATTGAAATGCTACTGATTTTTATACACTGATTTTGTATCTTGAAACTTTGCTGAAGTTGTTTATCAGATTTGGGTAAAGACTATGGGGTTTTCTAAGTATATAAGCATATAGTCTGCAAATAGAGTTTGATTTCCTCTCTTCCTATTCAGATACCTTTTATTTCTTTCTCTTGCCTGGTTGCTCTGGCTAGGACTTCCAGCACTATGTTGAATAGGAGTAGTAACAGAGGGCATCCTTGTCTTGTTCTGTAGAAAGAAATATTCAGTGGGGTCTTACAAACAGAAGTCATGCCTGTGTCTTGGGTAGTATGAGACAAGATGGTGGATCAGGGTTTATAAATCATAAGGGAGGGGTAATTCAGAAGGAATACGTAGGACAGTAGAAATCTGATAACATCAAAATTGTTTGACTTAAGGGCAAGATTTACAGTAAATACATGCTCTTACACAAGGGAATATAGATAAACTGGAAATCTCAGAGGCAATTCTGGAATAGGGGTTAATTAGAAGCCAACATGGCAGATTGGCACCCAAGATGAGTTTAGGGTTGCCCTGGCCTGCACAAGAAGTGTAGGGCAGATTCTCCTTCACAGCCCCAGAAGGAACCAACCTTGTCGACAACTCGATTTTGGACTTCTAGCCCACAGAATCATGAAACAATAATTTTTTTTGTTATTATAAGCCACCCAGTTTGTGGCACTTTGCTATGGCAGTCCCAGAAAATTAATACAGGAGGGGCTACTCTCAATGAATAAAGGAAGCAATAAAATACCTTACATAATTTCATAGAATGTTAGCGCTGAAAGCAGCCTCAGAGCAATAACGTCAAAAGCTTGATTCATATCTCACTAGCATGCTAAAAGAATCACCCACGTTGGCCACACAATGAATAAATATTCTAGTTCTTACTCTAGAATAATGGGCACATCCATATACTTACTAGTAACAAATTAAGTTTAGTGAACATTGATTTGCAAATTGGATATTTGTAAACTAAAATTAGAGCACTATTAGGATTTACTGAGTCTTCTTTTGAACAATTAATCTGCTACCTGCTTGATAAGTCTGTACGTGCAGGTTTTGAAATTCCTGAAATTTTTAGGGGGAGTTACTACTGTTAACATGTAATAAATCATAGTGAGTTAGGATGGATATGGTTTTCAATTGTTGCTCTCCTTGCATTAATGAATAGATTAGGAGAATAGTTGTTACAAGTTTTATTTTAAAAAAATATTGATCACTGGTTCTTTAATGGTTAGATGTTCTCTCTAAATCTTTTTGTAATCACTAGGTTCTTTTTCCATGGAAGACTGGGAGCAAATGGGATAGGTAGGTCACAGGACCTTGTGTCCCATCTAAGCAGGTTACTATTTTTAAAATTTGGTAAACAATCCCAGAGTCTCACTTCCACCTCTTTTCTAACTCTTTCATTTCTATTAGTGAGGAAACTAAAGACCCTTGTCTGTTTTTGACATGTGAATGAATGGTTGACTTCATCTTACTATCAAAATATTTTTTTTTGTTTTAATAAATAATTGTTGACTGATTTCAAAACAGCAGAGATTTTTAAATATAAAATATTATTTGACCCACCAAGCAATAAAGTGGATACTGCTATTGTCTCACTTATACAGATAAGAAACCTGAAGTTCAGAGACATCAAACAAGTCACCTGAAATCACATTGTTAGAGGTAACCAAGTTAAGATTTTACCATTGACAAGTTTTCAAAGTTCATGTGCTTATTCGCTATGCCAGTGTGCCTCAAATCAGGCATCCATGGACCTCCAAGGTCAATTGTCTTTTTCTCAAGGGTCTGCAAGTCTAGGTTTTTTTTCCCCCTCATTTTGGTAAATGCACAGCCTGAGGTTTAGCTGGATGAGCACCTCGCAGTTGATTACTGACAGGTGATTCCAGTATTCATATTTGCATTAGTTTTACAACCAAGTACACACCAAGTGAAGGCCAAATGAGGTTGGCTCTTGCTGATGGATGACAGGTTTCCAACAGTTTGAACAGAGAAAAAGCTGGGAGGCCTGAATCATCCCATGACAAATATTAGTAGAGTCATGCCAATTGTAAATAATCTGCACAGTAGCTATGTCTCATGAAAGTTATCTTCAACTCTAAAAATCTATAATCCTGTTGGATTACCATGCCATTTAGGGTCAGGCAGGAAATGGATGGCATAAGAAAGGAGAAGAGGACAGAGAATTTAACAGACTTTTACAAAAGTGTAAGCAAGGATAAAAAAAAATCCAAGTGAGATGGAGTAGTGCAAGTAATGGTGAGTAATGGTGAGAAGCATGGAGGGGTTGGAGAGAGAGTTATTGCTACAATCTGGGGAGAGAGATAGCTATGACCTTTAGTAGAGGGACATAACCAGGCTTTGGGGACAATAAAGAGAGGGAGCCAGAAGAAATACTACCCCGTCCTCACTCTTATTCCTGTGGAGCACCAATCTCTTGCTGGTGATTTCCACCTTTTGAACCTAACCAGAAGCCAGAGGACAAACTGCCTTTGATGTGGTTCACACAGGTTAGCTTCCCTGGGGCACACATATTGGGTTAGAGAATGCTGAAGAGTAGACCTGGTGGAGCAAATGAAGATATCCAGCCTGTTTCTATAAACCAATGATGTATTGTCTTATCCTAATAATAACATTGATGTTTTATTTTCTGGAAAGCATAAATATTTATTAATCTTTATTATTGAATGAGAATAAGATCCTAGGCACATCTTTCTTCCCACAGTTGCAAGAAGATAAAATGGCTCTATCAAGTTTTTTTATTTAAACAAAAGAGTCTGAAATTTTATGTCTCCCTTAAATTAACAAATAATATTCTCATTCATTTGCATTTCAGTTTTTTGATTGGAACATCAGGAGGCTGAGTTAAAATTAGAGTAGGCACTTGTACGTAAAAGTGTATCTTCCTTGTTAACTGTTTCAAAATAAAAGGCTGAAAATTGCTATTAGATGACAAATGATTTCACAATGACCTCAATAAAAAGTCCTTAACTCTGTTTTAAAAATTAAATTGCTCAAATGGAATGGAGTGAGGAAAGCCATACTTTAAAAGTAATTATTGAGGAAAAGACCTAGTAGTTTCAATGAACACAAAACTTGCTATGAGACAAAATATGACACAACTGATTAAAAAATTCAATGCAATCCTAGGCCAAAGAAAGGTTAAGGAACTTCAGATCAAGGGAATCAATAATTCTATGAGGCTTTGCACATTCAGTGACACCTAGAATGTTGAAACCCAGATAGAGGGATATTGGCAAAATGATAACCAGGTGATAACGGATTTCAAAACTAAGTTATGAAAACAATTTAGAGACACTAGAGGTATAAAGCCTAGAGAAGATTTAAGAAAGGTTTGATATAGCAAAAATCTTAAGCTTTATGGCAGAGGAATTAGACTGGCTCCATGTGGCTGCAGATGGCCAGATTAGGAGGGTTGGCTATAACTGGCAGGTAAAAAGACTTGGACTCAACACGGGAAAGAATTTATGGGAAACTAGAGATGTCCATGGGTAGAAAGCTGTGTCTCTTGAAGGAGAAGGCTGAAGAGGAGAGTGAACCTTAACAGTATTGAAAGATATGTAAAATGAAGTCATGGTTGGATTGAATGATTTCTAAGGCTCTGTGCTCTGTGATTTGATGACAAGAGAAGATATTGAAGCTGATGCCAGATTGGAGTAACTAGCATGGAGGAAGAATAAATTAATGAGTTTTTGATTTTAAAAAATAAATAAAAAAGAATTGAGAACACTAACCAGGAATATATCTAATGGTGCAAAAAAGAGAAATAAATAGGGAAAGGGTGGAAAAGTCCACAAAGATAGTAGAAGAGAAACTGTATTCTGAAGAACAGGGAAAGTATAGGAAGTATAGGAAGGAAAATATATATTGTACTACTGAGGGGGTTATTTGTCTGAAAAAGTACTCAAAACAATTATTTATAATGTTCACTTTATCACTTACATGTTATAGTTTCTGACAGCAGACAAACGCCATAGAGAAGGTGATGTTTTTTCTATATTTTTATGCCACCATACTTGAAACAGCATCCAGAAGTAAAAAGAAAGCAGAAAAAAAAAATGCTTTTTTTTGTCTCAGAAACACTGGATGACTATACATATAAACTGTCAAAGACCTAATTAAGGACATTAGAAAGCATATTTTTAAGCAGAACATTTCAGGTTTTCAGCATCTTTATATCTCCAAATGTGTAACAGCTGTTATGTTATAAAACCTATTCAATAACTGAAACATCACTCTTCCTCAGTAATTTTTGGTGTCACTTTAAATTGTAATGAATTCAGAAATTATTGACCAATAGTCAATTATTTTGTTATATATATGATGAACAATATGAATTTAATATCAAATAAAAATTAAAATTTGCAAGAAAAATAAACAATGTAGAATTAGATTAAAATTAGACCCCATATTGGAAATTGTAAAGCATATTTAAAAATAATGAGCATTAAAGTTGGTTCTTTCATCTTCCAGGATATGATCTGAGAGGTTGGCATTTCTTCCTTGGTCCTTGAGATAAAAGGATTCTCAACCAGAAAACTAAAGGATAAGCAAGAAAAGAGATCTTTGGGCATCTGTGACAAGATTCTTTACCCATCTTTGGAAACTTATAAAGAAAATATTAGAACAAAGAAGAATGAGGAAGGCACAAAACAGTTCCAGAACTTCTAAGCAACCAAAAGTAACTGAAAAGTCAACTGAAAATAGTAGTAGCTATTTTTTCTCATATTGTAAGAATCCAGTTAGCTCAGACCAAAGGAAACTCCTTTTAAATTTAGAGCCCACAGTTGAAACCTGTGAGGTCAACCAACTGAAAGTAAATACATGATTAAATAAGAATTTCCACAGTTGGAATTGTGTGCAAAGATGAATTTGACATAGTACCTTTCAAAAGGGCCTTTAAGACAGAAAAGCAACACAAACTCTCCTTACAGGGTTGATGACAGTTAGACAGAAACTGTATGAAACTCAGCACAATGAGAAAAGTTCATTAAAGGAAAATCGAGAAAATGATTAGTGTTGACTGTGAGCCTTGAATAATGGGCAGAATTATATCCAGTGGAAATAGTAGAAAGAGATAGAAGAGGTTTTTTAAAAAATAAAGGCACACAGCTTGAAACGCCTTGTACGCAGACCAGCCTCTTCCTCAGCACCCCAGGGAGCCTCCTGATACCCCTAGCCATGCTTTTGGATCTAATATCCCTAAATGGATATTCCAGTAACATTGATTGAGCTTGATTTAACTTGTTTCCAAAGAAAACATGAGAAATTTCCTTAGGCCAGCTGACTAAACAAGAAAATGTTTCTTCTACTGAATATTTAAGGCCACAGGAAGGTAGAAGAGTACTAAGGTCTGAGTTGCCAATATGCTATTGATACATGTTTCAAGGATCAAGGCATAGAAAGAAGGGCCACAACTCTGCTGGGAATGTAGCCTGAGCAAATAATTAAATAGATCAAAATTATTCTAAGTGGGAAAATTCGGAGTGACAAAATAAAGAGGTTCACTGAAACAAAGGAAACTATGTCACTGAAACAATGAAAAAAAAAAAAAGACAAATATATCATCCGCCTCCTTCCACACAAACGTCTCAGGCTCCAGCCAATTGTACTGAAATACACTCATTTAGTCAAACAGGATATGCAAACCATTAGCAATCAATCAAAGAGGTTGGCTGTGACAAGTCTCTGGCCCACAAAGCCAGACTTCAAATTGGAAATTTTTGTTCCCTCAAATACAATGAGTTCCCAAAACCAGACGCCTGTGGGAGGTGACTTAGGAGTACTTTTTACAGCTTAAACCTTAGCTCTAGCCCAAAGGCTAATACAGATGTGGTTGTAGTTCATTCCTTATTAAAGTCTTCAAATATACTATCTTATTTAGGGAGAATAAGCTACTGATCCAGTTCCAGGAGAACATGAAATTTAAGGTGGTTTTCACCCAGAATTAACCATTATTGTACAAAGCAAATCACCTACATCACCAGGACCCTTCTGTAGATTTTACTAGGTTGTTGGGACATGACTATCCACTGGTTATGTGAGTGGCCTGAAACCATGGCTAATTATTGAGTGCACACAGTATTCCAGGTGCTGTGCTAAGGACTTTATATGTACTATGTCATTTAATATTCTCCAGCCACTGATGTAATCTTGATGATATTCTATAGATGAGAAAACTGAGACTTAAGAGTGGCTAAGCAACCTGGGAATTCACATAGTTGCTAAATTGGAGCTTACATGGAGCTTACATCCTAGTAGGGGAATTCAGACAACTAATATGCAAGTAAATGTGAAATATGTTAGATAGTAATAAATGCTAAGGAGAAATGAAGCAGAGAAAGAGGGATGGAAGGAGGACTGTCTCTATTTTTTATAGGGTAGTCACTATTAAGATAATGCATTAGTAGGTATGACGACAAGCCTTGCAGATATCTGGGGAAATATCATTGTAGACAAAAGCAAAGGAAAATGCAGAGGCTCTGAGGGGGGAATATGGCTGATGTGTTGAGACAGAGCAAAGAAGCTCATGTAGCTGGAGCAGAGTAAGCAAGAAAGAAAGGCTAAGAGAGGAGTTTAGAGCTGAAACAAGGCCTAGATGATGCAAGACCTTGTAAATTACAGGAGAAAATTTGTGTTTTACTGTGAATAACTAGTGAGAACATTGAAGGCTCTTGAGCAAAGAAATAGTATGATCTGACTCAGGCTGTTATGTTAGTAATAGATTACAATGAAGACACAGGAGGAACAGAGAGGAGGCTGTTGTAATCTAGGGGAGAAATGATGATGGCTGCTATGATCTGAATGCTTGTGTCCCCCTAATATTCATTTATTGAAACCAAACCTAACCCCCAATGTGATGATACTAGGAGGTGGGGCCTTTGGGAGATAACTAGGCTGTGAGAGTGGAGCCCTCATGAACAGGGGATTTGTCCCTTGTAAAAGAGGAACAAGGGAGGTTGTTTTCCCTTTCCACCACCGGAGGACTCAGAGAAGAAGACGCCATCTACCAAGCAGGGAGCAGGCCCTCCTCACCAGACACTGAATCTGAAAACACTTGAATCCTGGACTTCCCAGCCTTCAGAACTGTGAGAAATTTCTGTTGTTTATAAGCCATGCAGTTTTTGGTAATGTATTGTAGCAGCTTGAACAGACTAAAACAGTGGCATAGACTAAGGTAGGAGCAGCAGGGATGGTGACAGTGGGTCAATTCTAGATACGTTATGAAGGTAGAAAGGAAAAGGTGTGATGGTTGCTCAGAAGTCAAGTGTGATGAAAACTAGGCTGGAGGCTGACTTTAAGGTTTCTGACTGAACAATAGGAAGGATTTATTGGCATGCAAAGTTCAGGACAGGAGGAGGTAGGAGGCAGTTGGAAATTAGGAGTTTGATTTTGGGCATGATAAATTTGTGCAGTCTCTCTAAGTTGATTAGGCAAATGGATATAAGGTTTTAGCATTTAGGTAAGCATATGAATTAAAGATATACATTTTGGAATCATATGTGCATAGATAAATAATATATAAAGTCATATGTCTGGATGAGATCACTTTTGGAGTGAATGCAAATTAAGTAAATAGATCTGAGAACTCAATTCATTGGCCTAAGATTGGCAATAATATGTTTATCACTAGGCCCATCTCATCAGATATATGACTACCACTTCCCATAATGTACTTGAAACTTCTCTACCCACCTGGAAAACTCACAGACTAGCTCTCAACTATGCTTTGCCTATGAGAATCCTCACCTAACATTTAAAAATGTTGAGACACATGCACACACACACACAACATCCTTCTGTTGAGAACTGTTAGAGATTATCTCACTGATTCTGTATTTTGGCAAGGTCAGGGCAATGAGGAAGAATCACTGAAGGATACTGAAAAGGAGCAGTGAATTCAGAG
The DNA here is from genome assembly GCF_000001405.40 of Homo sapiens. Taxonomy (NCBI): domain Eukaryota; kingdom Metazoa; phylum Chordata; class Mammalia; order Primates; family Hominidae; genus Homo; species Homo sapiens. The sequence goes on from NC_000010.11 coordinate 90,464,205, forward strand.
AACTAAGAGAGTATGTGCCAGGAGCCAACAGGTAAAAGTGTTCAAAAATGAGAGAATGAACCATTGTATCAAATATTCCCGATGCACTGATAAGAAAAAGATAAAGAAAATCTGATTGGAATGCATCCAGGAGAGAATGGGAAGAGAAGAACAAAAGATAAAAGAGTCAAAATGACTGCTCCAGTTTATACTCCCACTAGCAGCCTTTAAGTGATTTCTTACGATTCATAGCAAAAGAAAAAACCCTCCCTCTAAGGCATCCCTGCATATGGTGCCACTGAAAAATGTCTACATATCCTTGACTTCTGACTTATACACACCCATTCTGCCTAGAGCACAGCTTCAACTTGAAATAATGTCCTGTTTTCTTCCTATTCTTCAGCCATTAATTACATGCACCCAATTACTCCCTAGCAGTAATCAAATCCCTCTAAGTCATTTATCTTACAAGAGTTACCCCCTTTGTGTATGCTGATTAATTTTATGTTTAACAATGTGAAGCTGCTTCACTCTGAGATTATCTAGATTGAAACATTACCTACTGCATTTTTCAGTCTTGCTTAGTTAGACACAGTTATATCAATCCAATCATACTCATTTGTTGAAAATGAGGGTATATTATTTTCTCTATTTTCACAGTGAATCACAATTCTTGATGAACATATTCCTGGCAAGGCACAATTCTAAAGCCTATTTGAATGCCTAATAGCATTTTAATCTGTTAGATGGTTGATTCTTTCAGTAGCAATGAAAACCTTTCGTAATGTCAAGAGGAATACATTGATTTTAAAAAATCGTTTTAGCCCTCATTTCCCTCAAAACTTTATGCCTGTTGGGGATATGTTTTCCTATTCCCATAGGAATTAATAACTAGGACCAGATCTCAATTGTTTAATCATGACTTTGTTTTGCAAAAGAGGAAACTGAGGTCCGAATTTTGTGTGTATCAAGACATGTACAATGGTGGGTAATTCTGTGACTCCGGAGGCAAACTGCATGCATTAGAACTCTGCCTCCATTCTCCTTAGCTGTATCACTTGGATCAAGTACTTCTCATCCATTGAATGGGCACAGAAATGATGCTTAGCTTATAGAGTTGCTGTGAAATTGAGTGAAATGATGCAAAGCTTTTCATATGGTGATTGGAACATAATAAGCATGCAATAAATATAGTCTCTTCTTACATACTACACAGAAAAGCAGAATCTGCTGGGCGCAATGGCTCATGCCTGTAATCCCAGCACTTTGGGAGGCCGAGGCGGGCGGATCACGAGGTCAGGAGATCGAGACCATCCTGGCTAACATGGTGAAACCCCGTCTCTACTAAAAATACAAAAAATTAGCCGAGCATGGTGGGGGTCACCTGTAGTCCCAGCTACTTGGGAGGCTGAGGCAGGAGAATGGCGTGAACCTGGGAGGAGTAGCTTGCAGTGAGCCGAGATCGCACCACTGCACTCCAGCCTGGGCGACAGAACGAGACTCTGTCTCAAAAAAAAAAAAAAAAAAAAAGAAAAGCAGAATCTATTTACCAGACTTTGCTCCTCTTTCCTCTGAGCCAGGACATCTTTTAAACCTGACACAATAGCAAAGCTTGTGCCATGTTGGTCAAATCATATTAGAAGGGGAAACTAGAAATGAGAATGTGCATGAACTCTGTGCTTAATCTAGTAATAATTTCATTTTAACCAGAGAAACGTTTCTTTCATCCCAGGTCATTTACTCATTCAGCGTCACTAGTGGGACCTTCACAAGGCAAATGCGCCAGTGAGTTGCACTCTAACAAGGTACACAGCTGCTAGGAAGGGAGCAGCCAAACCTGCCATCACTGACTGCAGTGTTCCTACTGGACATAGGCGGCATTGGGAACATACTGGCAATGTGGCAGGGTAAAGGGTTGGGTGAAGGGTGAGAGCTTGAAGACTCAGACTTTTCTAATGAGGCCAGCAGCCTCACCTCTGGCCACTTTACAGCACACCTTCCTCCTGGGAATTCTTCCCTAGAGCAATCCACAGACTTGCTTTCGCAAAGCTTGAACTGTTCTTTTTTTTTTTTGACAGAGTCTCACTCTGTCGCCAGGCTGGAGTGCAGCAGTGCAATCTCGGCTCACTGCAACCTCCGCCTCCCGGGTTCAAGCAATTCTCCTGCCTCAGCCTCCCGAGTAGCTGGGATTACAGGCGTATGCCACCATGCCCAGCTAATTTTTGTATTATTAGTAGAGACAGGGTTTCACCATGTTGGCCAGGGTGGTCTCGATCTCTTGACCTTGTGATCCACCCACCTCGGCCTCCCAAAGTACTGGGATTACAGGCATGAGCCACCATGCCCGGCCTTAGCTATTTTTAATTCACAAAAGCACTTCCTTTGGGGTGGTATGCCAGCCAGATCTGCAAGACTATACTGTAAATACTTGTTTTAGCCTAGTTTTATTTCATTTATTTTTAGCTGCTTCATCTTTCACTTTTTATATGGAAAGGAGGAAGTGCCGGAACAAGGGAAATGGTTTAGAGCAGAGTTCTTGACATAAATATAGAATACAAAATGTCTTTTATTTCTCCAGTTATCTCTGCATGGGTCATTTCTATCTGAGAACACAGATGTTCCAGACTTAACTTTAATGGAATCCTAAACTGAGAAAAAAAGAAACAAAGCAGAAAAGCAGAAAGCAGAAAACAGAAAGCAGAAAGCCATCCATTTCCAAAACATGTTCCCTTGAAAGGGCTGTGGAGCACTGCCTCAGCACAGATACACCTCTGAGAAATCCTACAGATGAAACTCATTTTGACATTTTCTAAGCAATTTTTAATTGACTTAATTTTTTTAGAACAGTTTCAGATTTACAAAGTGAGAAGACAATACAGAGAATCCCCAAATACTCCCAGTTTCCCCCATTATTGACATCTTATATTAGTACTGGCAAACTCGCTCCTCAACCAGTCAGGCTCCTCTAAGTCCTCTTCTCAACTAGGCTTTGACCTTGAACTTAAATGTCTGTCCTTGTTTGGCCTGTATTGTCCAGTTTTAGCAGGAATCCTGTTAAGTCAGTTTAGAAAGAATCCTCCACTTTTGATGTCTGATCATTCCTAATATCTGGCCAAATTTCTTATCCCCCACCTTTAGCAAATGATCACCCTGGTATGCTTTCATCAAGAACCTGTAAGATCAGTTTAGCGAGAATATCTCCTTACTGCTGATGTCTCCTCTTAGTAAGCCACCCTGCTCCTGGGCTACGAATCCCCACTTGTCCATGTCGTATGGCATGGAGTAAGCCAGTTTTATACTGAGGGCTCTTTCTCCTATTGCAAGGGTTAGCACTTTAACTATTGTCCAACTCTACTTTAATATAACAGTGTGGTGTATTTATTATAATTAATGAACAAATGTTGGTACCTTATTATTAACTAAAATCATTTACAACTTTATTCAGATTTTATTCATTTTTACCTAATGCCCCCTTCCTATTCCAGGATCCCATTCAGGATACTACATTAGACTTAGTTGTCATCCTCATTAGTTTACTCTTGGCTGTGACAATTTTCCCCACTTTGTTTTTAATTGCATTGACAGTTTTGAGAAATACTAGTCAGGTATCTTGCAGAATGTCTCCCTACCCTCCCACTCCCTCATTGAAATTGCCTGATATTTCTCTTATTATTCAAATAGGATTACCAGTTTTGGGGAGGAAGATCACAAAGTGACATTTTTATCACAGTAAATCAATGGCACATGCTATCAACATGAATAACTATTGATGTTAACTTGATCACCTGGCTGAGGTAGTGTTTGCTTTGTTTCTCCACTATAGTTACTCATGTGTTCTCCCTTTCCATACTGTACTCTTTGAGAGGAAATCACTATGTACAGTCAGCAGTTAAAGAGTGCAAATTATGCACCATCTCCTTAAAAGCAGAGAATCTATATAATTTATTTGAAATTCTTCTGCATGGGAGATGTTTCTATTTTCCTCTAATTTATTTTATTCTATCATTTACTTATCTTAGTATGGACTCATGGATTCTTACTTGATACTTTAAGTTATAATCCAATATTTATTTATTTTCTTGCTCACAGTTTTTCATCTTTGGCCTTTGGAAACTTTCAGTTGTCATCTATATCATTTGACATACATCTATCAGTGTGGATTTTTGTTTTGTTTTGTTTTTGGGGAATTTCTTTACTTTGTGGCACTACTAGATACTCTGCGCTCATCTTATATAATTTCTGCCCCAGTCTTAGAATCAACCCTTTCTCTAGGGAGCTCTTTTTTTACTTGGAGAATGATATTAGAAACCAAAATCTGAGACATATGGAACTAAACAGAGAGCACCAAAATAAATGCACACATATGTGGTCAACTCATCTTTAACAAGGGCATCAATAATATACAGTTGTGAAAGGATAGTTTCTCCAGCAAACAGTGTTGGGAAAACTGGATATCCATATGCAGAAGGATGAAATTGGACCCTTATCTTAAACCATAAAAATACAAACTCAAAACAGACCAAAGATCTAAATAAATCCATAATTCAAACTGTAAAATTTTGGGGAAAAAAATAGGAAAAATGCTTTATGACATTAGTCTTGGCAATGATCTCTTGGATATGATACCAAAAGCACAAACAACAAAGGTAAAAATAAACAAATGGGATTATTTTAAACAAAAAAGCTTCTGCACAGAAGAATTAATCAACAGAATGAAAAAGCAACCTACATAATGGGAGAAAATATTTGCAAACTATATACCTAAAAAGGATTTAACAACCAAAATACATAAGGAACTCCTACAACTGAATATCAAAAAATAAAATAAAATAATTCATCAATTAAAAAATAGGCAGAGGATAAAACCAAAAATATACTGATTAAAAAACAGGCCAAGGACTTCAATAGCCTTTTCTCTAAAGACAAACAAGTGGTCACTAAATATACAAAAAGATGCTCAACATCACTAATCAAGAAAAGACAAATTAAGACCAGAATGAGACATCACCTCACTTCTGCTAGGATGGCTATTACAAAAAAAAAAAAAAAAAAAAGTGTTGGTGAGAATGTAAAGCAAAGGAAATCTTTTCACACTCTTCGTAGCAATGTAAAGTGGTACACTGTTATGGAAAACAGTATGAAGGTTCTTGAAAAAACTGAAAATAGAACCGCCATATGATCTAGCTTATGAGTATATATCCAAAAGAATTGAAGTTAGTATGTCAAAGAGATACCTGCATTCCCATATTTACTGCAGCATTATTCACAATAGCCAAGATATGAAAACAACCTAAATGTCCATTGACAGATGAATAAAGAATGGACAGATTAGATAGATAGATAGATAGATACATAGATATATAGATAGATAGATACATAGATACATAGATAGATACATAGATGGATATGATAGATGATAGATAGATAGATAGATAGATAGATAGATAGATAGATAGATAGATAGATAGATAAATGATAGATAGATAGAGCAACACTATTTAGCCTTAAAAAATAAGGGAATCCTATCATATGCGACAACATGGATGAACCTGGAGGACATTATGCAAAGTGAAATAAGCAGTTACAGAGGGACAAATGTGCATAATTCCACTTATGGGAGGTACCTAAAATAGTCAAACTCGTAGAAACGGAAAATAGAATAGTAGTTGCCAGGGACTGGGGGCAGGGAGAAATTGAGAGTTACTGTTTAATGGGTGAAAAGATCTGGTGCACAACATTGTACGTAGAGTTAACAATACCATATTGTGCACTAGGTGTACTCATTGGTACTGGAGTGTCAGTTCTTCTAGGACCACTCAGCTGACAAAGCAAGTAAATATATGTGTGTATTCTAATTTGCGTCTGTGCCTATCTCTATATGCAATAAGTTGCATCTACATTAACTAAACATCACTTCATACTAGATGTCTCCCACTCCAAACTAGTAACACATGGCTCATTCTAGCTTTCTTCCCTTGCTTGTCTAAACTCCCACTCTAACAGTGAGAAAACAGACTGCCACCATTCACCATTTGTATTAGTTTCCTATTGCTGCTATAACAAGTTACCACAAACTTGGTGGTTTAAAACAGCAAAAACTTTTGGTCTCACAGATCTGGAGGTCAGAAGTCCAAAATCTGTTTCACTGGGCCAAAATCAAAACATCTGCCTGGACACACTCACTCAGGAGGCTCTAAGGGAGAACCTGCTCCTTGCCTTTTCCAGCTTTGGGTGGTGGCCACTATTACTTGGCTTTTGGTTACATCACTCCAATTCTGCTTCCGTGGTCACACTGCCTTTTCTTCATCTGTATGTAATCTGTCTCTCCTTCTCTCTTATAAGTATACCCACAATTATTACGTTGGTCTTCCCTGGATAATCCAGGATAATCTCCTCATCGCAATATCCTTAACTTGATCACACCTGCAAACAGACTTTTTCCAAATAAGGTCACACTTACAGTATTAAGTATTAAGGTCTGATATCTTTGGGGGCCATTGTTCAGCCTACTGTACCATTCATTTATTTAATTATTAATTTTCACTGTACATGTGTCAGTGACAAACAAAGCCAGAAACTAATTAAGTTTTTAAGACAGATTTATTTAAGACAGATTTATTCAGTCATAACTACTGCAATAAGGAAGAGAGTCCAGCATGAATTGAACTCAACTTCGATTTGTGCAGAGGTGATTGGCCATTTTAAAGGGAATAACCGAGGGAATAGGGAGGGAAAAAAAGCAGGGCTCCCACAGAATCCATGGAACAGAAATTTTTTAAAAGCAGGAATGAGGGGTTGGTCAATGTGATTACGCCATGTGGGTTTGCTAACTGGCCCTTATTAAAGTTAGGCTTCTGCCTTCTCACTGAGATTGGTCTTATCTTTAAGTACTGGATGAAACAGTAAATTGTTTTGACAGCCTTGATCTTTCCCAGACAAGAACTAAATGGGGCCAAAGTCATTATCCTAGGGACACAAACTTGACCTATTAGAAACTATGCTAGTGTTTGTTTACATCTCTTAGTAGGGGAGAAGAAGGAGGTGGATTAAGTAATTTGAGCTGAAAGTCTGCAGATTTTATAGGCCTAGTTGAGAAGAGAGCTCTGAGGAGCTTGAGTAAAATGTGATTAAGGAGAGAGTCTTTGTCATGTATATAATAGCACTGGAAATGTTAACCTGTACCCTCGTGGGAAACAACTTTACTAACTAGAGCTACATTGCATATGCTTATTTTTTACTTGGTTTTACAGATTCTATCATTTCCAAAATTAGTTAGGTGTATCTTTTCCCTTTCACCACCTTCAGTAAGGTTGTTTCATATATTTGTTATAGTTAATTTCCCTTGTTACAGTCTGCATTTTCATCTAAGATTCTCAGTCTCCTAAATGATTTTTGCTTAGTTGAATACATTAAGTTTCACTCTTTGGGCTATAAGGTTCTATTGGTTTTGAGTGATGTATACTGTGATACATTTATCATTACATTATAACACAGCACAGTTTCATCACAGTAAAAAATGCCTTGTGCTTCACCATAACTCTCCACCACTTCCCTGACCTCCTGGCAACCATCTCTAGATTCCATTACTATTTTTAGAGTTTTTTCTTTTCCAGAAACTCATATAATTAGAATAATATAGTAAATATAATATGTAGCCTTTTCAGACTCACTACTTGACTTAGATACAGGAATTTAAGTGCTTTCCATATCTAATGTGGTTTGGCTGTGTCTCCACCCAAATCTCACCTTGAATTATAATAATCCATACACATCAAGGGCAGGGTCAAGTGGAGATAATTGAATCATGGAGGTGGTTTTCCTCATACTGTTCTGGTGGTAGTGAATAAGTCTTACAAGATATGATGGTTTTATAAATGGGAGTTCTCCTGCACAAGCTCTCTTGCCTGCTGCCATGTAAGATGTGACTTTGCTCCTCATTCATCTTCAGCCATGATTGTGAGGCCTCCCCAGCCATGTGGAACTCTGAGTCAACTAAACCTCTTTCCTTTATAAGTTAACCAGTCTTGGGTATGTCTTTATTGGGAGCATGAGAACAGACTAATACAATGCCTTTTCTTAGCTTAGTAGCTGATTTATTTTTTCACTGAATAAAATTTCACTGTATGGATCTACTCCCATTTTTTAATAGAGTCATCTATTGAAGCACATCTTGGTTGCTTCCAATTTTGGTGACCATGAATAAAGCAACTATAAATATGTGTAGGTTTTTGTGCATATATACATTTTCAAGCCAGGAATGTAAGTGCTGGATGGTGTGGTAGGTTTATGTTTAGCTTTGTAAGAAAATGCCAAAATGTCTTCCAAAGTGGCTGTGCCATTTTCTATTCTCATCAATGAAAATAAGAGTTCCTGTTCCTCTGCACCCTCCCCAGCAACTATTACTCTCGGGTTTTTTCATTTTCGTTTGTTCAGATTGTATTTTAGCCATTCTAATAGGTGGGTAGTGGTATATATGATTGTTGTTTTAATTTGAGATTTCAGTAATGAATCTTTTCACTTGCCATCTGTATATTTTCTTTAGTCAGGCGTCTGTTGGATCTTTTGGCAATTTTTTTAATTGGATAATTTGTTTTCTTATTTTTGAGTTTTAAGAGTTCTTTGTATATTTTGGATACAAATTCTTTATCAGATATGCATTTTAAAATATTTTCTTCTAATCTGTAGCCTGTGCTTTATTCTCATAACAGTGTCCTTCACAGAGAAGAAGTTCTTCATTTTAATGAAGTTTGACTTACTAATTTTATCCTTTATGGATTACACTTCTGGTGTTGTATCTAAAAACTCATGGCCAAACCCAAGATTACCTAGATTTTTGCCTATGTTATCTTCTAGAAGTTTTATAGTTTCTCAATTAATATTTGGGCTGGTGATCATTTTGAGTTACTTTTTGGAAAGGAGTAAGGCCCGTGTCTAGATTCTACTTTTTGCATGTAGATGTCCAGTTGTTCCAGTACCATTTTTTAAAAGACTTTCCTTTATTGAATTGCCTTTGCTCTTTTATTGAAAACCAGTTTACTATATTTTGTGAATCAATTTCTGGGCTTCCTACTCTGTTTATTTACCCATGCGATTCTTTTACCAATACCACACTGTCTTGATTACTATAGCTTGAATGTAAGTCTTGAAACTGGGTAGTGTGAGTCCTCAAATTTCATTTTTCTTCTTCAGTATTGTGTTGGCTATTCTAGATCATGTGACTTTCCACACAAATTTTTGAATCAGTGTGTCAATGTCTACAAAGTAGCTTGCTGAAATTTTCATTAAAATTTTATTAAATCTATATATCAAGTTGGAAATAATTGATATCTTAATGATAGAATCTTCCAATCCATAAAAACAGAATAACTCACCATTAATTTAAATCTTTATTTCTTTCATCAGTCATAATTTTCTGCATGTTTTTTTAGATTTATAGCTAAGTATTTCTTTTTTGTTGTTGCTTTCATAAATGGTATTTTAAATTTGTAAATCCAGTTGTTTATCACTGTTATATAGGAAAGCAACTAACTTTTCCATATTGAAAAAAGCTCAACATCACTGATAATTAGAGAAATGCAAATCAAAACCACAATGAGATGCCATCTAACAACAGTCAGAATGGCTTTGTTTGTTTGTTTTGAGAGAGAGTCTCACTGTGTTGCCCACACTGGAATGCAGTGGTGCAATCTTGGCTCACAGCAACCTCCGCCTCCCAGGTTCAAGCGATTCTCCTGCCTCAGACTCCCAAGTAGCTGGGACTACAGGTGCCCGCCACCACATCTGGCTGATTTTTTTTTTGTATTTTTAGTAGAGATGGGGTTTCACTATGTTGGCCAGGCTGCTCCAGAATGGCTATTATTAAAACATAACAAAATAAGAGATAATGGCAAGGTTGTGGAGAAAAAGGAAAAACTATACACTGTTGGTGGGAGTGTAAATTAGTTACATCATTGTGGAATACAGTGTGGTGATTCTTCAAAGACCTAAAGACAGAAATATCATTTGAACGAGCAATCCCATTACTGGGTATATACCCAAAGGAGTATAAATCATTCTATTATAAAGCCACATGCAGGCATATGTTCATTGCAGCACTATTCACAATTGAAAGACATGGAATCAACCTAAATGACCATTGATGATAGACTTAATAAAGAAAATGTGGTATGCATACACTGTGGAATACCATGCAGCCATAAAAAAGAATGCAATGATGTCCTTTGCAGGGACATAGATAGAGCTGGAGGCCATTATCCTTAACAAACTAACACAGGAACAGAAAATGAAATGCTGTATGTTTTCACTTATAAGTGGGAGCTAACTGTTGAGAACACAAGGACACATACAAGGGAACAACACACACTAGTGCCTTTTGGAGTGTGAAGGGTGAAAGGAGGGAGAGGATCAGGAAACATAACCAATGGGTACTAGGCTTAATAACTGGGTGATGAAATAATCTGTACAAAAATCACACTTAACTCAAGTTTACCTATATAACAAACCTGCATTTGTACCCCTGAACTTAAAAGTTAAAAAAATAACCTTTTGCATATTAACCTTGTAACCTGTGGCCTTGCTAATCTCACTTAATTTTTCCGGCTTTTGTTTGTTTCCTTGGGCTTTCTACGCAGGCAATCATGTCTTCTGTAATAAAAGAGAATTTTATTTTTTCCTTCCCAATATGTATATTTTTCTTTCTTTTTGTTGTCTTATTATTCTAGTTAGCACTTCCAGCGCAATTTAAATAAGAATGGTGGGAGGAAACATCCTGTCTTGTTCCCACTTGTAGGGGGAAAGCATCCAATTTCTCACCACTAAGTATGATGTTAGCTGTAGGACTTTGGTAGATCATCTTCTCTTTTTAAATTTTGTTTTCCAAATTTATTTGATCATGAGACCCTTTGTTTAAAGTACATTTATTCATACTTTAATGAATAATAGTGTTCCATAAAACAGGAAAAACTTTATTATAGTAATACTTGTTCAGGAGTAACAGATCAAATATGTCCTCAAAGAAAAATGATATTAATCCTAGGGAAACATGAGGAAAAACACTGGAATGATGTGACCACCTGGTTGCCAAAACAATTTGAGCTGGTACATAAATATCAGGTGTTTAATACCCATGGTTTCTAACCTTTATGTTCACTTCGTTCATTCATTCATAAAATTTTTTGTTGTTGTTGTCAGGATTAATGTGAGCTACAGGGTTACAAAGATAATAAGGCATAATTATTGCGGTGGAGGAATGCACAGTCTAGTGGAGAAATGGAAATTGATTAGTACCTAAGCAGTCGACTCCCTTGTATGAAAAAATATAAGCACCTGAAAATGTCTTCCCAGGGAGGACTTTTCAGGATAAGCATCTCTATGAGTCTAATGCAAGAATCACTTAGCTTTTACTGGGGCTTTTTTTGGTCAAAAAAATTTTAGACATAGAAAAAACATTTTTAAAAAATAAATCACCCATCATCTACCACTTAAGAAATAAAAGATGATGAACGTTTTTGAAGCCCATGTGTACACCCTACAAATGTATTCAAATTCCTCTCCCTCACTGCAGGTAACTATTATTTGAGTTAGGTATTAATCTTTTCCATGAATGTCTCTATACTATACTACATGACCATGTATTCCTAAATAATATATAGTATTTTGGCACAATTTTTAGATTGTATATAAATGATACCATAATGGATAAAGCCTTCTACAACTTGTTTTCTTCACTCTATATTTGCAACATCCATATTGAAAATAGTTCTAACTTATTGTCCCCACTGAATAAAGTTCTGCTGTATTAATATAGCACAATAAATGAAAATAAATCCATTCTCCCCTGGATGACATTTAGGCTGTTTCCACTTCACTGATATTTCAAAAAACACGTCATGAACATTATTACACATGCCTCCTGGGCATATGTGCCAGCGTTTCACTCAGGTATATGCCTAGAAGCAGAACTGCTGCCTGGAAGGGGACATGTAAATTTATCTTTACTAATTTTTGTCAAATTGCTCTCCAGAGTGGTTGCTTGGTTTTTATTTCTATTAGCATTGGACAAGTTCTCATTTCTTCATGTTTTTGCCAACACTTTGCCAACTCAATAGCTGCAAAGTGCTACATGTTGTGGTCCTTGTTATTAGAGAAGTTGAGCATATTTTCATGTATGTGTAAGCCACGTAGTTTTCCTCTTCTGTGAACGTCCAGTTCATAATCATTGCCAGTTTCTCCTTTGGGGTTATTTATCCAACTATCCTAGATGCTAATTAATACTTTGATAAATAGACTGCAGATACGTTTCCCAGTCTATACTTAACTTTTTGCTTTGCTTATTTGTATGTTTTGATACAGATAAGCATTTAATATTATTTCATCAAATGCATTACTCTTTTCCTCTGTGGTTTATTCTTGTCTTGGTTAAAAAATCCTTTTTGGCACATAGTTCATAAAGATGTAAAATAATTACTATTTAAATATAACCTTATATTTAAATATAATCTCATATTTAAAGCTGTTAAATGATGTTTTCAAATTTAGGTTTTATTTCACCTGAAATGGATTTTTTTGGGTATGGCTTATTTTGAGCTATAATTATATTTTATTCTAGGGACTAACTTATTTTCTCCAGGCACTTTATTAAGATGCCTATTTTATCCTAACTGATTTTCCAAAAAGAACTATGTCATATTGTCATATATCAATTTTTCATGTATGTGTATATTTATTTTGGCTTTAAAAGATGCAAAAAAATTATTTATTAAGTGACAATTTTATAGCTGTCCTTTTGTGGCTTTGCAATTTTTAAAAATCCAAATAACATTATCATTCTCCTTTTATTCTTATCAAGAAAAATATGAACAAATGGGTGAGTGCCAACATGAATTGCCCCAGAAATTCCCCAAGGCCAGGAAACTTACTTTACTTCTTTACTAATCTCTATATTTTTGTAAGGAAATGTTCTATGTTTCAAGAATTTCTTCACATACCCAGACAGAAAATATCAGTATGCGTGTATCAGTCTCAGTTCACTCAGGGAAACAGAGTCACTGTGACACAGAATAAGGGGGTTAGTATAGTGATTATGACTTACCCAGATTTGAGTGTTGCTAAGGGAGTGAAGGTCTTAGAAGGAACTGAAGCTCTGGCACAGGTGAAAAGCCAGAGCTTATGGAAAAGCATATGAAATTCCATGCATTTGGCTACCAAAGTGAGAATGCAGTGTGTGGGGTTATAAAGAGGTCAGCAAAGCTGCCATGTCTGTCAAAGCCACTGAGTCTGACCTCGACCCCATCTGACTGCCATGACCTACTGAGAATAATGATGCCTGCTTTACTTCTGCCTCCCAAATCTCATATCTCTCTCTCCAATTGAAGGAGATATGGGGAAGCATAGTCTCTAGCATCAAACAAGAAGAGTGCTTGGTGCTGGTGACAATCCAGAAAAATGGGCACAAGTCACCTTTGCAGAGTGGTCATTAGTATAAAACATTTCATTCTTCTACAAATACAACCAACTCAACATATATTTTTTGCCAGAAAGTTTACCACAAATAAGACCTTTTGATTTACCTTATTTCACAAAATGTGCTCAGTCTCAAGATATCATTAACAATACCAATAAAGAATGTAAAGTATACAGAAATAACCCCAATAATAAATGCATAAAACGTTTCAGAGAAAATGTTCTAACTATATTAAAGGACATAAAAGAAAATTTGAATAAATTGGGCATTATGCCATGTTTATGCATGGGATAGTTAATATGGGATAGAGGTCAATTCTCTCCCAAATTAATCTGTCAGTTCAACACAATAGTAATAGAAAGTACAGCTGGAGGCATTTAAAAACTCATTCTAAAGTTTATATAGAAGAAAAGCCAAAGTATAGCTAAGTCAGGCCAGGTGCGGTGGTTCTTGCCTATAATACCAGGACTTTGGGAGGCTGAGGTGGGCAGATAGCTTGAGCTCAGGATTTTGAGACCAGCCTGGGCAAGATGGTGAAACCCCATCTCTACTAAAAAGTACAAAAATTAGCCAGACGTGGTGGTGCACATCTGTAGTCCCAGCTACTCAGGAGTCTGAGGTGGGAGGATCACTTGAGCCTGGGAGGCAGAGGTTGCAGTGAGCAGAGATCACACCACTGCACTCCAGCCTGGGCGACAGAGCAAGACTATGTCTCAAAAAAAAAAAAAAAAGTATAGTTAAGTCAACTTTGAAAAAGTAGACTAAGACAAGGAACTAACCCTACTAGAAATTAACATATATTACTAAACTATAGCAATTCTAAAAAGAGATATGATACCAATACAGAAACAGAAAATGGATTTAGACTAATAGGTTAATAAAATGCAATAGAAGAAATAGAAATAATCCCTGCACATATGAAAACTTTGATATATGATAAAGATAGTCCCACAAAGCAATGATGAAGGAATGGATTGTTCAGTCGACAATGTTATGAAAAAGTAGATATGAAGAAAAATAGAGCTGGACTTTTACATTTTAACAGCACACCAAGTGAGAAATAAATGAATTAAAAACCAAACGTAAATATCAAACCACCAAAAAACAGAAGAACATGTAAAATAACATATTTTTGATCAAATTTGTAGGTAAACATTCTAAAATAATTATTCAAAAGGCTATAAGTTTTAAAAATGGATTTGACTACATTAAAACCAAAGATTTCCTAAAGTACATAATAAAATAATGGGTAGATTGGAAGACTTGGAGAAGATATTCGCAACCTTTAAAACTAATAAGAAAATAATATTTAATTATAAAAATAGATCTCTTGACAATAAAGAAAAAGTAAACACAATAGAAAACTATAAGAAGCTCACCTGACTAACAAGGCCAGAAAAAGATGCTCAAAACACAATTAGTAGAAAAAATGCTAGTTAAGTCAACAATGAAAAAATCAATGTGTATTTATTGGAATGGCAAAAATCAGGAAGATGTGTAATATCTAATGTTGGGAAGCCATGGACTTGAACACTGGTGCACTGCAAATGGGAACAATAATTAACTGATCCTGCTGGGCCAGAAAGAAGTATGCCAGTGTTCAGAAAAATTAAGTATATGTATGACTTATACTTAAGTATAAGTATACTTAAGTATAAGTATAAGTATGACTTATACTTAAGTATATGTATAAGTGGGACTCGGTGATCCCACTGCTGAATATCCATCTCCCAGGAAAGTTCTCTCAGAGATTCATAAGGGCATACACTCAAGCATGTTCATTGTGACATTGTTTATGGTGATGGAAATAAAGGGTATGTTCAATATTTATTTTTAGGGTGAAAGATTTGTAAAATGGAATTGTATGCCATGGAGTACTATGCAGCTCTAACAAGCAACAAAGTAGATGCATATACAATAATGTTGACAGATCTTAAAAACATTGTAAGAAGTGAGCAGAGTGTGATTTATAGTGCAAAATTATGTAAATTAAGAAAAAATCAATACCATATATTTTACAAGAATATATATTTAAGAATACATAAATATAAATACATATATGTAAGAATATAAAGCAAACACATTAGATAGAAAAAATAAAAAGTCATAAAACTTTGCATGAATCCATTATGATAATGTGATATGTACTGAAGACTATTATGAGTTCCATTATCTGCCCCAATATCAATAGTTAAAAAAAAAGAAAAAAAAATTTTTTTTTTTTGAGACAGAGTTTCACACTGTCACCCAGGCTGGAGTGCAATGGGCAATCTCAGCTCACTGCAACCTCTGCCTCCTGGGTTCAAGCGATTTTCCTGCCTCAGCCTCCCCACTAGCTGGGATTACAGGCACCTGCCACCACACCAAGCTAATTTCTGTATTTTTAGTAGAGATGGGGTTTTGCCATGTTGGTCAGGCTGGTCTTGAACTCCTGACTTCAGGTGATCCACCCAATTTGGGTGCTGGGATTACAGGTGTGAGCCCCTGTGCCCAGCCAAAAAAAAAAAAAAAATTTAAAGTGCGTACATATACCTTAATCCTGTGGGTTCTCTGGGACATACTACACAATGACAAATACCTTCTGGTGCAAGGTTAGAGACCAGAACACATGATTGGATCTAATCTAATAATATTTCTCTCATGTTGGATTTGATTTATTATTTACAACAGACCAAGATTTTAGAGAATTAATTTCCCCATATTCAAGTTTATAGGCTGCTTTAATCCAGTTATAGTTCTTTGTAGCATAACAGAGGCAAAGATGGATTTGCTAATCCAGCATAATTGAACAGTACTGCTTAGCAGAGTTCAATAAAGGCTGTCTCCTGTGAGATACACAACACTATTCATCCCCCTATGGATGAGATTATCTAATAAAACATAATTGATATGTGCCTACTTTTATTCTGATGTTTGGTCATATCCTGACAATATTTTTCTTCTTTCCTGGTCTATTGTATCCAGTGACTGACTGCTGAAGGTCTGAATGATGAAATTAGTCATTGGTGCCATCTTAAAGAAACTCATCACTGACTTCTCCCTATCAGTCCTTCTTACTCACTTCTAGTAGGGAAAACCCAGGCAGAAAAAAAAATGGCAGAGACTGGTTGTACAACTGACTTACAAAGTTAAATTTTCTTTAATGTTTTTGTGTTCAATGAAGACAGTCTCTTCAAAAACTAATTGCCACTAAAACTTAAAGAAAATAATATTGGCTCAGCCAAAAGAAAAAAAAATAGTCATGAAAGTTCCATTCTATCACTCACCAGTCAGAAGACAACTGGAAGAACTTCTCTCAGTTCTTGAAGTCCATTTTTTAAAACAATTTATGCAAAGTGCTATCTATACAAACAAAAATGAACATGATGGTATTGAGAATGGAAACCAAATCAGAGCTAAGGCATTGGTACCGGGGAAGAAGACTTCTAATATTTAGGAGTGAACAGTTTTAAAATGCAGGTGTTTGGGTTCTGCCCCTACCAGGGTCTCCAAAGGTCTGTCCCATTTACAAATCTCACATGTTCTCTAATAAAAATGGGTTTGTTTCAGTCTTCATGGTAGATTGCAAGGAAGATTTAGTTATCAGATTAGATGCTGTACTGACACCTTATGGACCCCTGCAGCTTTGACTTTCAGGGCATCTGGGGAAATGTTTTTAATGGGTAAAGGGAAATGAAGATATTCTCTTCAGTGAAAGGCATACGCACTGAGTTTTCAAATTACCGCTTTCTTGTGGTTCCAGGTGGAATTAAATAAAAAGGAGTTTTCACCATCATTCTGGATCATTTTATTGCTAGCTTGACTCTATTGGACACATATTACTAAGACTTTAATATCTGCAAAAACCCAAGAACACAATATCAGAATGAGTCACTATTTGTTTATGGCAGAGGCTGCTGCTGAAAGCCCCAATCAGAAGTGGTATTTTCAAAGCGGGGGCTGTGGTTGAAAAATGTTCAGAGTGTCTATCTGAAATTGTTTGATTCCCCTGCCCCCCTTTTTTTTAAATGAGCTGAGAGACTGTCTACAGCACCTTGAGATTGAAGCTTAAGTACTGCAATCACTCCAAGTGAGTGATCCATGCTTTTGTATCAAAAACATGAATACAACTATATGCCTGATGAAAAGATCATGCCATTTTCCAACTGGTTTATTCATACTGAATACATATGAGATGGAAAACAAGATTTATGTTAGTGACAAAACCACAGAGAGACAAGAGAAGTGCTATTTCTGGATACCTCTCAAGAAGAGGTTGCTCTGAAACGCAAAGTCTCTTTGCACAGCCATTACCAAAGACAGAAGCTCTGAGGGCATTTTTCAAACCAGGAGGGAGAGCAAGGGTCCCAGGCACTGTTAACCTGAAGCCCAGTGGAACTTATGGGTCTAGCTTGCAGGGTCCTTTCATCTATGCCAAACCATTTGCAGGGCTCGCTTTTAATCTGGCACCCCTCTAAATGTATTTAATTAATTGTCAAGGTTGAAAGTATCCAATATGTCAGTTTTTATGAGCAGTCAACCAAGGAAGCAGCTCTTGGTTTCTTTATATGTGCCAGGCAGCAACTCAGCAACGGTGGTCTCCATCATTTTGCTAATAGAACACTTCTATTTCTAAAATAATAAATAAGTATCTAAAACATAGAAACCAGTAGGCCTTTACTTATGCATTCATCTGTGGGAAGAAGTAAGGCAGCAGGAACAGAGAATTCCCCATTCAGGTACTGCCCAAGCCAGAAAATGTTTCTGTTTTTCTTGGTTGTGTAATGGAACAGTGGTTCTCTTTAGAAGTAGTATTACCCTCTAGGGAACATTTTAGAAATCTGTAGGGGAGATTTTCTTTTTAATTGTCACCATGATTAAGAAACCCTAAAAGTGTTTATAAGTCTGGATCTGCAATGAGTTGGAGAGTCTCACACATTGAAGAATTACAGCCTGCTCAAATTTTTAATGTTTCATAGGGATTTCTTATGGTTGTGAAAAGCTTAATAATAACCCAAGCCAAGAAACATATTGCATTATATGCATAAAAACAAAGTATATTTTATATCGTTTTAATATATATTGAAATTTTTTGGAATTCAACTACCACGAAAATAAAAGGAAGAGAGTTCTTTAAATGGTTTTGTTCAGAGCCTTGCAGTAATTCTGTTTCAGAAAATCATGACAAGGACAGCAACTCTCTTCCTGGTATCATTCTGAATGACACCTGTCATATCCAAAATGGCTCTATCTTTAATTATACACATCTGACTACTTCATTTATGCATTGTAATACATGTTTGATGTTAAATTATTTTATGTCTCCTTAGGTTACAGTTTGGGCATCACGTTGTTTGGGGATAGAATTATTTTGTCAGGTGAATGTATTGCAAATATTTTCTCCAAATTTTGGGCTTATCTTTTTCTTTTAAAAAAAATTTTTCTATGCTATCTAATTTTAAGCATGTGCATGTAGTATTGTTTCCTTTCTTTTATTTATTTACTTATTTTATTTCAACAGGTTTTTGGGGTACAAGTGGTGTTTGGTTACATAAGTTCTTTAGTGGTGATTTCTGAAATTTTGGTGCACCCATCATCCAAGTAGTGTACACTGTACCCAGTGTGTAGTCTTTTATCCCTCACCCTTCTTCTACCCTTTTCCCAAGTCCCCAAAGTTCACTGTATCATGCTTATGCCTTTGCATCCTCATATCTTAGCTCCCACTTATGAGTGAGAATATACAATGTTCGGTTTTCCATTCCTGAGTTACTTCACTTAGAATAATAGTCTCCAACTCCATCCAGGTTGCTGCAAATGCCATTATTTCATTCCTTTTTTATGGCTGAGTGGTATTCCATGGTGTATATTTATATATATTAATCACATTTTCTTTATCCACTTGCTGTTATGGGCATTTAGGCTGGTTCTATGTTTTTGCAACTGTGAATTGTGCTGCTATAAACATGCACATGCAGTGTCTTAAGCGTCTTATGTCATAGAATGACCTCTTTTCCTTCGGGTAGATATCCAGTAGTGGGATTACTGGATCAAATGGTAGTTCCACTTTTAGTTCTTTAAGGAATCTCCACACTGTTTTCTGTAGCGGTTATAGTAGTTTACATTCCCACCAGCAGTGTAAAAGTGTTCCCTTTTCACCAAATCCACGTCAACATCTATTGTTTTTTAATTATTTATTTATTTATTTATTTATTTTATTATGGCCATTCTTGCAAGAGTCAGGTGGCATCACATTATAGTTTTGATGTGCATTTTTCTGATCATTAGTGATGTTGAGCATTTTCTAATATATTTGTTGGCCACTTGTATATCTTCTTTTGAGAATTGTCTATTCATGTCCTTAGCCCACTTTTACAGGGGATTGTTTGTTTTTTCCTTGCTGATTTGTTTGTAGATTCTGGATTTTGGTCCTGTGTCAGATGTATATATTGTGGAGATTTTCTCCCACTCTGTGGGATGTCTGTTTACTCTGCTGATTGTTTCTTGTGTTGTGCAAAAGCCTTTTAGTTTAGTTAAGTCCCATCTATTTACCTTTGTTTTCATTGCATTTGCTTTTAGGTTCTTGGTCATGAAGTATTTGCTTAAGCCATTGTCTAGAAGGGTTTTTCCAATGTTATCTTCTAGAATTTTTATGGTTTTAGGTCTTAGATTTAAGTCTTTGATCCATCTTCAGTTGATTTTTATATAAGGTGAGAGATGAAGATCCAGCTTCGTTCTTCTATATGTGGCTTGCCAATTATCCCAGCACCGTTTGTTAAATAGGGTGTCCTTTCCCCACTTTATGTTTTTGTTTATGTTTTGTTTGTTTTGTCAAAGATCAGTTGGCTGTATTTGGCTTTATTTCCGGATTCTCTATTCTGTTTCATTGGTCTATGTGCCTATGATGGGGACAGGGTTAGGCATGTCTGAACTCAGACTCTCTTTGGTTGGGGCTTGCTGAGGCTGCTGTGGGGGATGGGGTATGGTTCTCAGACCAATGGAGTTATGTTCCCAGGGGGATTATGACTGCATCTGCTGTCATGCAGGTCTCCAGGGAAGTGGGGAAAAGCCAGCAGTTACAGGCCTCACCCCACTCCCATGCAGCCCAAAAGGCTAGTCTCATTCCTACTGCCCCACCCAACAGCACTGAGGTCATCTCCAGGCAGCAGGCATGCAGGACTGAGAACTTGGCCCAGGCTACCAGCGTCCTGGCTGAGAAAGCAGGGCTTTCAAGATTCGTGCCACCCTGTGCCTGCGGCAACTTCTGTGCTGTGCCTGCACTGGCTATTCACCCCCTCCCCCAGACTCCGTCCAGGAAATTTCACATTCTGTCAAAATTGTTACAAAGTTCGGCTAGAAGTTTTCTTCTCCCTGTGTTTTTTTCCCAGTTCCTCTGTCAGTCCTCCCAAAGGACCCCTGTAAGACAAAGTCGGAAATAGCTTCCCTGGGGACCAAGAGTGCCCACAGGGCTCTTCCCGCTGCTTCTTCTACCCCTGTATTTTGCTTGGCTCTTTAAGTTTCTCTCAACTCCAGGTAAGGTCATGTCCTACTCCTGTGATCTAGACTTTTAGGTTCCCCAGTGAGGGTGTGTGTTCCGGGGCAGACGACTGCCCTTTCACACTTTCACCCTTTCACCCTTTGGTCACTCACAGTGTTTTGGCTGTCTCCAGCGGCCTGCAGCAGCAATCCGCTTCCTTCAAAGGGTCTGTGGACCCTCTCAGCTTTCCTGGTATGTTCCTGCAGTGATTCTTGGAGCAAAAGTTCACAGTGTGAGTCTCCACACGCTGCTCTGTCTGTCCAAGTGGGAGCTGCAAGTTAATCCTGCCTCTTATTGGCCATTTTTTCCTCTCTTTTTATTTTCTTAACAGTTCCTTTTGATGAGCAGGTGATTTTAATTTTAGTAGAAAAGCCTAAATTATATTTCTAATATTTAGTACTATTTATGTTCTGTCAAAAATTATGGCTACCCAAAGTTCACAAAGATAGTCTCCTGTTTTCTTCTAGAATTTTTGTTGTTTCTGCTCCTATGTTTAGGTTTGTAATATATTTCAAATTAATTTTTATATGGCATAAAATAGAGATTGTGAGGGGTTCTGCATATGGATGTCCAGTTGTTTCAGCACTATTTATTAAAAATACAAAGCTTTTGCTATTGAATTACCTTGAAACTTATTAAAAATCAATTGATTGCATATGTGTCTCTACTTACAGGCTTTCAAAAAATGTTGTTGCTGTTTCTCCTTACACAAATATCATATTGTCTACTATGGCTTTATATTGTCTTAATGTTAGGTGGTAAGATTCATCTAACTGTATTATTTTTCAAAATTGTTTTTGCTAATCTAAGACCTTTGCATTTCCATATAAGTTTATGAATCATCTTGTCAATTTCTACAGAAAACCTTGTTGGGAGTTTGATTAGACGGCTGAGAAAGACAGCAAATCTACAGGGTGAGTAACATGGCTCTGGACTCAGGGTACCTGGATTCAAATGGCTACTCAACTGCTTACTATTTATGTGCCCTTGAACATCTGTAATCAGGATATTAATTACATGCCCCCTCTGTGATCAGAATAATTATAAAACATACCTTCTATGGTTGTTGAGAGGATTAAATAATTTGCATATACAATTGCCTACTGGAAATATCTAATTGGATACATTATAAACATTTCAAATTTGAAATATACAAAATCAAACTCCTGATTTTTCGCCTTTCCTAAACTGCTCCATCTACTGACTTTCTCATCTCAGTATACTACAATTCCATTTTACCTGTCCTCAAGATAAAAGCCTTATGGTTTCTTGTGCCAGACACCTTGAAATCAACCTTAACTCGTTGCTGTTTCTCATATCAAATATCCAAAATGTCAGCAAATCCTGTAGTTTCTACCTTTAAAGATACGAATCTGGCCGCTTTTTACAACCTCATTGTAACCACCCTGACACGCTAACCTGGATTATTGCAATAATTTCCTAACTGATCTCTGAGCTTCCACCTATGTATCCCAAAAATCTATTATCAGCACTGCATTCATTGCATTACTGTGAAGACTTAAGCCAGATCATGACACTTCTCTGTTCAAAACCCTCTTCAAATAGAAATACCTTCAAAATCTGTTCATAATCTCCTCCCAACCCCCATCATTATCTGACCCCTTCTTCTATGAACTTATTTCCTACCATACTATCCTAATACTCTTGCTGCTGCAGCCACACTAGTCTCCCCACTACTTCTCAATCATACAGCACAGTTCTTCCTTTGGATCTTCGCAGTTGCTTTTCCCTTTGCCTGGAAGTCTCTTCCCCGAGATGTTTGCATGGCTTGCTTCCTTACCTCCTTCAGCCTTTGATTCCGATGTCGACTTCTCAATCAGGACTTCCCTAGCCACCACATTGAAAATTATTTGTATATATTAACATATGCAATATTTCCTAACTTTCAAATTCTAATTTCTTCAAGTAATTTCCATCACTTTATGTATTATATAACTTAGAAATATATTTATTATATGTCCCTCTTCACCCTTATATTAATGGGTACTTGACTTGGGTATAAAGTCCATGAAAAAAAGGGATTTCTTATATGTTGTTCATTCCTATGTTCTAAGTGTCAAAACTGTGCCTGGCATGTAGCTGTTGAATAAATATTGAATAAATATGAATGAATACATGAATGAAATGAGATAATACACAAACGGAATTTAGCACAGTTCCAAGAGCTCAGAAAATTCTTAATAACTGTCAGCAATTATAATTTTAACATTTACACCTGTGTTCAGTTTCCCAGCTTTCCAGAGCATTAAAGCATGTTCTAAGTCTTGGAAGAAGGAGGAGAACTCTTTTATCTCTTTATCGTTGACAGTAGCACTACTTGCGTTCAGTTGGGCAGAAATGCCAGAATGCTCTGGAATTCCACAGGCTGAGAGTTAGCTGTACCTGTCCAGACTATTGCCTACCCAAGGACATGGCCAAAGATAAAAACTTGATTTACTATTCCCCTATCTTGAATAAAAACTCACTTCCAAATCCCATCAGCACCTCCAAAATGCTTTCTAATCACTCATTTCTCCAACTCCCCTTACCCTTATCTATACGGTACTCCCACACCCATGTCACAGTCTGGTGCTTTCTATGAGTCCCTTTCACCAGGTAAGTCTATTTCTTCAAGTCAGGGAATAAAGAACCCAAGATATACCTCCAAAACAGGCACTTGTGGAAACAATAGTTGAGCAACAGCCTTAAAATGTATTTCAGTGGCAGAAAGTCAACTAAGTAAATAGGTAGACTCTTCATTGAGCCAAAAATTTTTTGGGGGAAGGAGTTGAACCTAATAGAGTCACATACCTTTTCGCTACTGATTTCCCTTTGTTATTTATATACTTCCATGAAAATTGTAAATAAGACCAAATTAAACATTTTTCCTAATATATTTCC
This sequence comes from Homo sapiens, assembly GCF_000001405.40. Taxonomy (NCBI): domain Eukaryota; kingdom Metazoa; phylum Chordata; class Mammalia; order Primates; family Hominidae; genus Homo; species Homo sapiens. The sequence continues at coordinate 90,488,060 of NC_000010.11, forward strand.
CCAAATCGAAATCTAAGTACATAAATTATTTTCAGACAATTGTGTTACCTCCAGAACTCAGAACTACAGAAATTCAGACTTATTATTAATGAAATCAGAGTATAAAGTTCTCGCAGACCATATGAGAGGAACTTCACTCCTACAATGCAATTCCAGAGCTATAAAATATTATATTCAGAGATCACCTGCACCGCCTTCCCCACTTTACATAAGAGGAATTCAGTTCTCCAAGAAGTAAAAGACCTTGACCAGGGTCACAGAGTGAGCTAGCAGCAGAACAAAGACTAGAAATGGGGGGTTTCAGCTTCACGCCTGCACTGCTCCCTCATGACCTAGCACCTGTTCAAACCAGGTACTTTCCTTATTGTGAGTCCTGAATATTGAACACTATAATTGCACAAGGATATCTGAGTTCATATAGGTTACAAAGACTTAAGCAATTTAATTCAATTTGATGAAAGAGTTGCAATGACTTTCCACCCTATGCAAGACCAGAGAGAGAGAACCCATAGACAAAACAGCATGCCCTGGATTTGGTTGAAAGGCCTCCACAAATCTGAAGCAGCACATCACTTAGAACATTACTAGCTGTAACAAAGGAAGTGCTTTCTTTTGATTATGTTAAGAGAGCAGGATCTAATCCACTTCATACCTGTGATGATAAAGCACTTATTCAGATAAAGAAAGAATAGTACTTCATGCCAGATTCATTTTATCAGGATAGAATACAAACAATTCCACAGAATCTGACATATAGTTCTTGTTATGTTAACCTGATGGCTCTTGATACAGAAATATTTTAAGTTATAAAATTGTTATTACATACTACACTGCTTCATAATGGAGAGCTATCAGGTATCTAATAGCAATTTTAAAGGGCTTAGATTTTAGTAGCAAGATCATAATCCAGAATCCAGAGACAAAGAATAATAATTTCATATGCTTTCCCACAAAAGCTCTTGTATGCTCTCCTCTACCTGAGTTTTTGGAAGCATGTCAAGAATGGCTTTCCCAGCAGAGGAAAAAGTGATTGCTAAGCTATAATTTAGGGCAACAACACAACTGAATTTCAGCAGCATATACCATCAGGAATGAGTTTTTTCTTCCATTTAATTCTGTAAGCAAAGGCTTCTGTCAGTATTAATTCCCCATAATAATTATGATTACTTGATAAGCTAAAAACAATCAGGAGGATTATTCTTACATGTGATTGAGGTAACCAAGCTTATGTATTACAGGAAAAGCAAGAATAAATACAGTGTACATTTTTTCAGGTATGGGTCTAAATTACATCTGGGGATCAAAAAATGAATAAAACACAGTCCTCACTCATAAGGAATTCAAGCCTAGTTGAGGGACATTGGTGTGTAAATAACAAGTGCTATTCTCTACTGGGAAAAGCTCAGGGTCTACAGTCATACAGATCTGAAATTGAATCCAGCTTTGTGGCTTATGATCTGGGAGACCTTAAGCAAGTTACTTAGCCTCTACTAGGCTTTAGTTTTCTCATTTAAAAACCAGTGTACCTCCCTCTGAGGTACTGTGAGGAGTAAAGGGGATAATGCCTAGAAGGGACTTAGTACTTCTCCAGGTATTAGTATGTAAGATTACCTTATTATACAAGCTGCAAATACATAGGTACTATCAGAAATATAAGCAATGTGCCATGAAAGCAATTTATTCAGTCTAATGATTAGACCTCTGCTCTGAACTACACATGCCCTTTATAAAACCAGCACAGATCAAGTGTGTTTTATGAGTTATGTTTTAGACATTTTGGAGCAATAATCATAAGGTTATTACTATTTCAGATCAAAGTGCAAAGGCTATGCAAGGGGTAGCCATTTCTCTGAAATTGCCATCTCCAGGACTGATTCAGGAAAAAATACAAATCTATTATCTGCTTTGCTAAAAGAAAATTGTCTAATGAAAGTAAATCACCAGGAAACCCAATTTACTCTACAGTGAAATTTGGCTTAAAATTAATCTTTCTTATACCTAGGCAAAGAGTTTTCTGGCAAAACTACATGGTTTCTTGAAGAAATAGATTCACCTAGAAGTCAGCATGGACCCCAAAGACAGAGTTATTTTATACCTGTGTCATCTTGAACTATCATGCAATGACTTTTTAAAAATAAACTTTTAGAGCAGTTTTAGATTTACAGAAAAATTGCAAAGAAAGAAAATTCTTGAATACCCCCCACCCAGTTTTCCCTAATGTTAACATCTTACATTAGGATGGTGTTAATCGCCATCCTAAAGAAACAGGATGAATCCCTGCCCAAAATTTGATTTGGATGTCAAGACCAATGATGTCACACACGCACACACACACACACACACACACACACACACACACACCCCAAGAGGTTATGAAAATCTTTTCTATAATGGGATGTTTTTGAAAAGAGCAAGGGAGCCTTCCCAAAATGGTTCCAAATGGCTTAAATAGCCAGAAAAGGAGACAGGCTTGAGATTTTTTTAACTGATACATAATAATTGTATATGTATATGAAATACATCTGACATTTCAATTCATGTCTATGATGTGTAATAATCAAATAAGAGCAATTGACATAATCATCACCTCAAATATTTATCATGTCTTTGTGCTGAGAACATTCAAAATCCTCTCTTCTAGCTATATTAAAATATAAAATAAATTTTGGTTAACTATAGTCACCCTCCTATGCTACAGAACATTATAACTTATCTAACTATAATTTTGTACCCATTAACCAACTTCTTCCCATCCTTTCCCCCTACCCTTCCCAGCCTCTGGTGACCACTATTCTACTCTCTACTTCTATGGGATCTACTTCTTTAGCTCTAATATATGAGTGACAACATGTGATACTTATCGTCTGTGCTGGCCTATTTCAATTAACATAATGTCCTCCAGGCTCATTCATGCTATTGCAAATGACAGAATTTCATTCTTTTTATAGCTAAATAATATTTCATTATGTATATGTACTAGATTTTTAAAATTCATTTACCTGTCGATGGACAGTTAGATTGTTTCCATATCTGGGCTATTGTGAGTAGTTCCGCAGTAGCCACAAATAAAGATCCTGCACAAAGCCTTAGTGCTCTGAAAACATCCATAAATAAAACCAATTGACTCTACTCAAATTACACCGCCGTTAAGGGCACATCAATCTTCCTAGATAAGAAAGAAAAAGCACAAGAACTTTGGCAATTCAAAAACGCAGAGTGTCTCCTTACCCCTTATGACCACAATAGCTCCCCAGCAGTGGTTTCTAGCCAAACAAAAATGGCTAAAAAGACAGACAAGAACTCAAAATCTCAATGAAGTTCATCAAGATTCAGGAGAAAGTTGAAACCCGATTTAAGGAATCTAGGGAACCCAAGAAAATTATTCAAGAGCTGAAAGATCAAATAACCATTAAAAAAAACTGATCTGATGGAGCTGAAAAACTCACTACAAGAATTTATAATGTAACTGAAAATATTAACAGCAGAATAGACAATGCTGAGGAAAGAATTTCAGAGCTCAAAGACCAGTTATTCAAATCAGCTCAGACAAAAATGAAGAAAAAAGAATAGAAAAGAATGAAGAAAACCTTTAAGAAATATGGGATTATGTAAAGAGACCAAACCTGCCACACATGTGTGTCCCTGAAAGAGACGGAGAGAGAGCAAGCAACTTGAAAAACATATTTGAGGATGATGTTCACGAACATTTTCTCAATGTCACTAGAAAGATCAAAATTCAGATTTAGGAAATTCAGAGAACCTCTGCAAGGTATTATACAAGATGACCATCCCCAAGACAGTAATCAGATTCTCCAGGGTCCAAGTCCCATAGAAGTAGAGAGTAGAAAGAAATAATATTAAAGGCAGCTAGAGGAAAGTGGCAGGTCATCTACAAAGAGAACTTCATTGGGCTAACAGTGGACCTTTCAGCAGAAACCCTACAAACTAGAAGAGAATGAGGGCCTGTATTCAGGATCTTTAAAAAAAGAAATTATAACCAAGAATTTTATATCCAGCCAAACTAAGCTTCATAAGTAAAAGGATAAATAACATTTTTTTTTCAGACAAGCAAATGCTAAGGAAATTTGTTACATCAAAATATCCCTTACAAGAGGTCCTAAAGCAGTGCTAAACGTGGAAACAGAAAACATTACAGCCACCACAAAACACACATAAGTACATAGATCATTGACACTATAAAGCAACTACACAATCAAGTCTACATAACAATTAGCTAACAACATAATGACAGGATCAAATCTGTACATATAAATATTAACCTTGAACATAAATGGGCTAAACATCCCACTTAAAAGACAGGTAGTGGCAAGCTGGATAAAGAAGCAAGACTCAACTGTACAATGTCTTCAAGAGACCCATCTCACATGCAATAACAACCATAGACTCAAAGTAAAGGGATGGAGAAAGCTCTATCAAACAAATAGAAAAGAAAAAAGGGCAGGGGTTGCTATTTTAATTTAAGACAAAACTGACTTTAAACCAATGATTATCAAAAAGGACAAAGAATGGCATTACATAATGATAAAGGGTTCAACTCAACAGGAAGACTTTACTATCCTAAATATACATGCACAGAACACTGGAGCACCAAAATTTATAAAACAAGTTCTTAGAGAAGTATGAAGAGACTTTAAAAACCACAAAATAATAGGAGACTTCAATGGCCTACTGACAGTATTAGACAGACTGTCGAGGCAGAAAACTAAAAAATATTTTTGGGACCTAAACTTGAGACCTGACTAAATGGACCTAATAGCCATCTACAGAACACTCCCCTAGACAACATAGTATACATTCTTTTCATTTGCACATGGCACATACTGTAAAATCAAGCACATGCTCAGTCATAAAGCAATTCTCAATAAAATTTTTAAAAATTCTAGAACTATGCCAACCCCACTTTCAGAATGCAACACAATAAAAATATAATTGAATACCAAGAAGATCCCTCAAAACCATGCAATTACATGTAAATTAAATAATCTGCTCCTGAATGACTTTTGGGTAAACAATAAAATTAAGACAGGAATCAAGACATTCTTTGAAACTAATGAAAACAGAGATAGAAGATATTAGAATCTCTGGGACACAGCTAAAGCAGCGTTAGAGGAAAGGTTATACCACTAAACACCAATTGGAAGAATATGTATTCTATTGCTGTTGGATTAAATGTTTTGCAAATATCAGAGGCCCATTTGGCTTAGAGTATAGTCTAACTCTGATGTTTCTTTGTTGATTTTATGTCTAAAGTATTTTTCCATTTTTGAAAGTGGAATGAAGTCCCCTAATATAATTGGATTACAGTCTATCTCTCCCTTTATATCTAATAATACATGCTTTATATACTTGTTCCAGTATTGGTTGCATATATGTTTACAATTATTATATGCTCTTGCTGAATGGACAATTTTATCATTACATAATGACTTCTTTATCACTTTCTAAAGCCTTTGACTTGAAGTCTATTTTATCTGATATAAATATAGCTATTCCTCCTAGCTCTTGGTTTTCATTTGCATGAAATATCTTTTCCCTTCCCTTCACAATTTGTCTATGTGTGTCCTTATAGGTGAAGTGAGTCTCCTACAGGCAACATATAATTAGGTCTTGTTTTTTAATCTATTCTACCACTTTATATCCTTTATTTGGAGAACTTAATTTATTTATACTCAAGGTTATTATTAATAGGTATAGACTTCTGCAATTTTGTTAATTGATTCCTAGTTGTGTTCTGTAATCTTTTGTTCACTTCTTCCTCTTTTGCATTCTCTGTGATTTAATGGTTTTCTGTACAGGTAGGCTTTGGTCCTTTTCATTTTTTTGTGTATCTACTATTAGTTTTTCCTTTGTGTTCATCCTGAGGCTTACATAAAAAATCTTATAACAAGTTAATTTAAACTGATTAGAGCTTAATTTTGATTGCATATATAAACTCCTCTTTTACTCCATCTCCTCCCATGTTTTATGTTTTAGATGTCACACTTTACATCTTTTCATAATATTAGCAAATTATTGTCACTTTATTGCCTATTGATCTTTATACTAGATATATACTAATAATTGATTTTCCCACCACCATTACAGTATCAGAATGCTTTGAATTTGATAATGTACTTTCTTACTTTTACCATGCATTTTGTATTTTATATGATTTTTATGTCACCAATTTTCATCCTCTTCCTTCAGGCTTGAAGAACTTTAGCATTTTTTGTAATCCAGGTCTAGTGGTAATGGATACTCTCAGCTTTTATTTGATAATTTTTCTTAACACTTAATTTTTAAAAGGCAGGATTTCTGGGTATAGTATTCTTGGTTGACAATCTTTTTTATTTCAGAATTTTGAATTTATCATCCCACTCCCTTCGATTTGCAAGGTTTCTCGTGGTAAATTGGTTGATAGCTTATGAAAGTTCCTCTATATGTAACAATTCACTTTTCCCTTGCTGCTTTCAACACTCTCTGTTTTTAACTTTTGAAAATTTGACTATGATCTGTTGTGGTGTTAGTCTCTTTGGATTCATCTTCTTGATATCTTACGGGCTTAATGGATCTGGCTTTCTAATTCCTTTCCCAGAATTCCTTTCCCAGATGTGAGAAGTGTTCTGCAATTATTTCTTTGAATACGTTTTCTGTTCTTTACTCTTTCTTCTTTTTCTTCCATGCCAATAATGTATAAGCTGTTCCACTTGATGATATTCCGTAGGTCTCTTAAGCTATCTTCACTCTTTTTAATTTCTTTTGTTCCTCATGTTGGTTCATTTTCAGTGCTACTTTCTTCTGCTTCATAAAGTCTGATGTTAAACCCTTCTATTAATTTTTTAGTTCAGTTATAGCATTCTTCAAATATATGATTTTCATTTGGTATGTACTTTATGCTTTCTATGTCTTATTTGAAGTCATCAACGTCTTGCCTAGTTGTCTTGACCTCTGTGAATATCTTTTGATACCATTATTTTGAATTCCCTGTCAGGTAAACTGCATACTCTCCTTTATTTGAGTTGATTTCTAGAGATTTATCTTGCTCTTTTCTTTGGAACATATTCCCTTTTTTCTTCATATTCCTTGATTCTCTGTGTTGGTTTCTGTGCCTTAAATAATACACCTACATCTCTCCAAGACTGGACTTGTATAAGAGAAAATTTTCACCCATTCATTTGGCCAGAGATTTCAAAGTGCCTCTCTATTTGTTGTTGTTGTTTAGACTACTATCTCTGTTTTTATAGCCCCCTGGAGCTTAGGATATGCTACATCTTGTCAGTACCCCAAAAATGGTATGATAGGAGATAGTCTATTTAAGATGTAGCTGGAAAGATTGAGATGTTAGATATGTATTCCCATTCTTCCTATCATTATGGGGAGACTGGGTGCAAGAACTTATCTCCTTTCTCTCTGCACTAAGACAGAAGATCTGTGGAAAATGCCTATACTTATGTTCAAGCTGCACCTTCTAATCTTGGAGGAATAGCCACTAGGTGTAAGTCCATTATATATACATCTATTTGTTTTCTCTAGTCTTGGGTCACTCAGAATCACAACGCCCCCTCAATTTTCAGAGGTGGTTAATTACACAGTTCCCTAGGTGGGAGACACGAAAGTTGTGGCACTCAGTGCACAGTCAAACTCATCCCAGAAATAGGCCTGGATTTATCTCTGGGGCAAACAAGGGGGAGGTCTCATGGAATGCTGAGCTCTGGCTCTGGGTACCAAAGGTTTATTGTTTGTTTGCCCCGTTAGCTTCTTGAGGAAGGTTCATTAGAGACCAGGCCATCAAATAGCCACTGGGAATGTGTGTTGTAAGCCTCTTCTGGAGATTAAGTGAGAGTTTAATGTTGTTGACCCTTTTCTGCACTGCTCCAAGGGAGTGTAGCCCTTGGAAGTGTTTGGATGCCCACTTAAAACTATGTCTTTGTTCCAGAATGAAGGAAGACTCATATGCCTAGTCTTTTGTTCCCGCAACTACTAGGTTTAGAATGGAGCCTTTCAGGGGGTAGCATTAAAAACTAGGACTATCGATGTGTGTCCTAAACTCCTTCTGGGGAAAAACAGGTAGTGGCATTTTTTGACCCCTCCTCTGCACAGCTCCAGAAGAATGAAGCCTCTAGAGGAGTTTGCCTGCCTATTTTTAAATCCCTCTTTTTCCCTCTGGTGGACAATGACATGTGTACACTGGTCCCTTTGGTACCCAAAGCTAGGAGATTTCAAATACTATTCCTTAGGTGAATGTTGCAGGATTTGAGACACTTGATGTGAGTGCAAACTCTTCCCAAACTAGAGGAGGGTTAATAATTGACTGTCTCTTTAACTCCTCCATGGATGCAAGTTAGTTAGAATCCAGGCTGCCGGACAGCTACTGGAAAGGTGTTTTGTAAACCCCTCTCAGGAGGACTTGGGCAGGGGAAACAGAGAGCTGTGGGTTTTTTAAAGCTCCTTTAGTGCTCCCAAGGGGATAAAGTCCTTAGTAGTGCTTATGCACATGTATAAACTTCCACTTTTTTTCCTACAGTCTAGAGGGGCATGGGCATATCTAATCCCTTGCATTTCTAAAGTTTGTGAATCAACCACCACATCTTGGGGAAATTTAGGGTTTGGGTCCTTTACGTGAGGTCCAGATCTTCCTCTCTACACAGAGAACCTGGGTGTTGAGATTTCTTTCTCAGTATCGTGGTGCAATGCCCTGGGTGGGGTCCATGCCCAAGTGTGCGTCAGCTTTTCCCACCCACTTAATGTGGACGTTTTCTCAATTGCCTGTTGGGTAGAAGTCTCTTGACTGGCCTTTGGTTTTGTCTCGGGGGAGTTTTTCTGTAAATAGTTTATCTGGAACATCTGCGATTGTAGGGAGAGTCAGAAGTTTCCTATTTCACCGTGTTGGTGACATCACCCACCCATTCTTAGAATTTTTATTATGGTTGAAGTGTTGGGCCAAGGTGAGCATTCCTTTCTGGGGACAGGAGCTTATGTGATTTGAATCTCCCACTAGTACTAAAGAGGGGAACACCCAAGCTTTATTATTAGCTTGCCCAGATTGGGGGCAGAAGGGGAAGATAGATAAGTAACGCTTAAAAGTCGTCATCCATCAAACATCAACATATGGAGTCAGCTTTTTCATTATACATTGTCCTTTTTTAACTATTAGTGAATCAATAGTCATATATTTTATTAGCTAAAGTCAGCATTTTATTCATATTTCCTTAATGTTTAGCTAACGTCCTTTTTCTGTCTGCATTATGTTTATTTATTTATTTTTTAAATCTAGGACTCATTTTTTTTTATGTAAATAGCACAATAGTTGCCACAGGACAAGAAGGAATCAAATGACAAATTTATTTTGATTAATTATCAAGAAAATAGAGAATATGATATTATTTTCACTTTCTGATACAAGACCCAACTCGTGAGCCTGAGCCTGTCATTGCCCTGGGACCTCTGCTGCATACTCTTTGGTGCCAATTATGTATTTGCTTCTCTCTCTCACTGACACACCTTCCTGTCACCTTGCTCTCCTATCAACATGTCATTTTGTAAAAGGGGCAGCAGAAGATAGGAAGAACATAGACCTCAACCTGAGGTAAGCTCTATAGTGTCTAAATATTAACAGTTATTGTCTATTGTACATCAACGATTGTATTGGACCACCCTCAAGATTTTGCCATACCCATATTTCTTCTCTGTTATGATTCACTTAATACTTTTCTCCAAATTCATTCTTTTTTTAATAGTTACATTTCTGAAAACACTTTAAAATTAAAACATAACTAATGAAAGGAAAATTACTTTGCATTCCACCTAAAATCAACTCAAATGCTCCTAGTGGTATAGGTCTCACAGCATGGGAAATACTGCTCTATACTATTCGTTTATCAATGAATAGGAATACTACATGATGTTTCTCTTACCCAGTGAGCAGTTAAAGTATTTTTGTATTATACTTTAAGTTCTCAGGTACATGTGCAGAACATGCAGGTTTGTTACATAGGTATACATGTGCCATGGTGGTTTGCTGCACCCATCAACCCGTCACCTACATTAGGTATTACTTCTAATGCTATTCCTCCATTAGACCACCAGCCCCCAACAGGTCCCAGTGTGTGATGTTCCCCTCCCTGTGTCCATGTGTTCTCATTGTTCAACTCGCACTTATGAGTGAGAACATGTGGTGTTTGGTTTTCTGTTTTTGTGATAGTTTGCTGAGAATGATGGTTTCCAGCTTCATCCATGTCCCTGCAAAGGACATGAACTCATCTTTTTTTATGGCTGCATAGTATTCCATGGTGTATATGTGCCACATTTTCTTTATCCAGTCTATTATTGATGGACATTTGGATTGGTTCCAAGTCTTTGCTATTGTGAATAGTGCTGCAATAAACATACATGTGCATGTGTCTTTATTAGCAGAATGATTTATAATCCTTCGGGTATATACCTAGTAATGGGATTGCTGGGTCAAATGGTATTTCTGGATCTAGATCCTTGAGGAATCTCCATACTCTCTTCCGCAATGGTTGAACTAATTTACACTCCCACCAACAGTGTAAAAGCACTCCAATTTCTCCACATCCTCTCCAGCATGTTGTTTCCTGACTTTTTAACGATCACCATTCTAACTGGAGTGAGATGGTATCTCATTGTGATTTTGATTTGCATTTCTCTAATGACCAGTGATGATGAGCTTTTTTTCATATGTCTGTTGGCTGCATAAATGTCTTCTTTTGAAAAGTGTCTGTTCATATCCTTTGCCCAGTATTTGATGGGGTTGTTTGTTTTTTTCTTGTAAATTTGTTTAAGTTCTTTTTAGATTCTGGATATTAGCCCTTTGTCAGATGGATAGATTGCAAACATTTTCTCCCATTCTGTAGGTTGCCTGTTCACTCTGCTGATAGTTTCTTTTGCTGTGCAGAAGCTATTTAGTTTAATTAGATCCTATTTGTCAATTTTGGCTTTTGTTGCCATTGCTTTTGGTGTTTTAGCCATGAAGTCTTTGCCCATGCCTATGTCCTGAATGGTATTGCCCAGATTTTCTTCTAGGATTTTTATGGTCCCAGGTCTTAGCTTTTAGTCTTTGATCCATCTTGATTTGATTTTTGTATAAGGTATAAGGAAGGGGTCCAGTTTCAGTTTTCTGCATATGGCTAGCCAGTTTTCCCAACACCACTTATTAAATAGGGAATCTTTTCCCCATTGCTTGTTTTTGTCAGGTTTGTCAAAGATAAGATCGTTGTCATGGCATGAAAAGGATGACCTTTCCAGTCTGCAATACCTGCTTGACCACTAAGACCAAACAGCTCAAATTAAAGGTAACAAATTCCGCAGAGGCAATTGTTCAACACAGGAAAAAGAAACCACTTTAAGGATTTTAAACTGGAAGAGATTTTACATAAGCTGTTTTAAACAAAACCATTGGATGACCTGGAGTAACAGTGTCGGAAACTCAGCTGAGCTGGATAGAGAACTGAGCTGCCCGTTGTTGGAGAAGTTGATTAAAGCAGCAGCCGAAGATCGAAGTAACAGTCAAGACTGTAATCACTTACTGCAATAGTATAAGCAAGAGGCCAAAACCAAAGAAACTGCCAACTCACCCAGGTCTTCTAAATTCCCCAGAAAGGTGCACTAGTGGAGGGTCAGTGAATCAGGACAGACATGGGGGTCAGCTCACGATTGAGGAAGCCCCAAACAAAAATCTCCAGTAGTATTATGAACCCTGGAGCAGGAGGTTGGAGTGAGACAAGGAGAGCTAGGAGTAGAAGAGTATGGAGTCGGAGGAGGGAACGGTTTCTTAAGGTCTCCTCCCACTCTACTCTTAAGAAAGCTTCAGTAGAAGCACCTGAAGAAAACTCCAGCAGGAAGCCCTCAGATAAAGAAACTTCTGAATGAAGACACCTAGGCTAGGAATGCAAATATGTTTAAGAGCATGGGCCATTAGGGGAATCTGAGTTCCAGAATGCAATTCTCTTTAAAGATTGCAATGCACTGGGTATGCCCCAAGTCTGGGGAGGGCAACTTTCCTCGGAGGGGTTTGCCAGATAAAGCCTTTGTCATTGCCTGTGGTTGGGCCTGAAATATCAAACATAGATTTTTGGCCAGGACTCCTCAGCAGGATCTAGTCAGGGCCTTCACAAAGTACATTCAGAATGACAATTGACCCACCAGAAAGCCATCATGCCACCACTTGATATTTTAAATGAAAAGACCCACCAACATATCTGATATCCATATCTGATACCCAGTAGAATTGGAATGCTGCTATCACCACTGTCACTATTGTCACTACCACACCTGCCTCTAGAAACCCAGCAATCTGGAGGATGGACCCTGGATAATGTTGCAGGCAAACCTCATTTCTCTACAACTGTGCTTTCCACCAACAGTCGATTAAAGGAAGACGAAGATCGAGTGTGTGTGGATGATACAGCAAATAAACCTTCTTCTAGTTCTTAAAGATTATGGTTTTCAGTGTTTAGTGAGCATCCGTGTTCATCTTTAAAGGATAGAAAAATGCAGGAGGCATCTTGTATCCATGAAGATACTAAAACACGGATTTCCTCAGGAAATTGATCACTCAAGCATCCATAATCTTAGTAGACTGCCCTTATAGTCGTATTGCAGAATGTGTGATCTGCCATCTACTGAGGGCTCATTTTTCCCTCTCCTCTCTCATCCAAGATTGGTGATAGTTTCAAATTTTTCTCCCACTATTATGTAGAATAATTTCCAAACTTGACACTCAATTGAATCATGGTGTCCAGGAAAATAGATAAAATAAATATGACTTCATATACCAGAAGTCATATTCCTTTGAATACAATCAGGGCCATAAATGGCACTTGCTTCTATAACACAAAGTGCTATTATAATTATATACATGATTTTTTAAATAATTAAGTAACTTGGAACCAGTTTCTATTGCAATAATTATAAGAAACAAAGACCTCCAACTGAATGAACCCCTCTGAAATATTTTAATAAACTCTGAGGAGTACTATTTGTCAAGCAAAGAAATACTGAATTAAGGTAAATGCCAGCTTAGGATGAAAAGAACAGCAACAGTGCCTACCTTCATTACCTCAGCCTCTCCCTGGCTAAGATAATCACTTAATCTTTTATGCCTTTGCTAAAACCTCATTAGTAAAAAGGAGACCTGCCTACTAAGCATAAGGTTAAGGCTTTAATGGACTTTAGAAATCATTTACTTTTATGACTCAAAGCACTGAAGTGCAAATTCTTTTTATTTGAATATTTGAGGGCATTAAATGAGCATTTTTAATGGATTTCAATTGTCAGGATAAAATAAAATTTCTCAAGGGGAATCTGAATTTTAACAAACATTAAAATCAAAGAAGTAAAAAGATGAATAAATGGAGAAAAAGTATTGTAGTAACATCAATTTTTGCCAATCTAATTTTTTAACAAAAACTTTTAAGTCTATTTTTGGCCAGGCATGGTGGCTCACCCCTGTAATCCAGGGCTTTGGGAGGCTGAGGCAGGAGGATCACTTGAGGCCAGGAGTTCGAGACCAGCCTAGCCAACATGGTGAAACCCTGTATCTACTAGAAATACAAAACTTAGCCAGGCATGGTGGTGGGCACCAGTAATCACAGCTACTCGGGAGGCTGAGGCAGGAGAATCGTTTGAACCCGGGAGGTGCAGGTTGCAGTAAGCGCCACTACACTCCAGCCTGGGTGACACAGCAATACACCATCTCAAATTGAGTATATTTATTTAGTTTTAAAACTAACTTTGAAAATCTCTTCACCTAGGGAAGTTATTTCCTGAAACTATTTTCTACTGCCTTTTAGAAACACTGCCTTCCTGGTTTTGTTTCTTTTTTGTATGTTGGCTTTGTTTGGTTTGGGTTATGTTTGTTTGAAGAAAAAAAAAAAAACCTGAAGTGATTCTTGAAGTATTTTTAAGTGAGCACATTTTAATTTGACATAACATTGGATTTCACTTGGTGAAAAGAGAGATACTGAATAATTAGTAGTATCTGATAAGATGTTTAGACGGAGAAGTGTAGACTCACCATGTACAAAGCAGCTATGATGGTGTTCGCCCACCTCTTCCCCTGCCTAATGCCTATTCATCTGACATTTATCATCCAGATTTCACTTCCTCTAGGAAGCTTCCTTGATGCCTCCAAACAAGGTCGAAAGCACTATCTACATGCTTCTTAGCAATCTGTAGCTCTACCATCAACATTTTATTCTGATTTTGCATTTACCTTCTTTCCTCTAGTAGAATATGTGCCAGACTGTGTCTTGCTAAACATTGTTAAATAGCACTAGTATACTGCTGGTACAGAATAAGACAACCAACAAATATTGAATGAATGAATGAGTGAACCCAGAGTTAAGCATCTGCTCACTTAGTGATTGGGTTGGTTTCAGGTGGAAAGTCCATAGGCTGATATCAATTTGACTGGTATCAGTAAGAAGGGAAGTGTAAGATACACAGGTGTCAGTTTCCTGAGGGTCTTAGATGAATGCTATGTAGACTGGACTTATTTCAGTTGTTAGCTCTAGATATGAGGGACAGGCAGACGATCACTCTGAAGCAGGTTGGAGCACATTTTAGTGGGCATTTATTGGTTACCTTCTCAGTATATTATCTAGTCTCTGTTATCCCAGAAATACCCCAAATTGCAAGCCACTTAGCAAAAGAAATTTAATCTTTACACCCTGTTCTAATTTAATCTACCTTTTTGCTACTACCAGCTTTCCTTGGCCATGGTGACTGAGTCAAGGACAGACTCATAATCTAAGGCAAAGCAATAAGTCATCAGGAGACTCAATACCTGCGTGTCTCTCAACCATTGGAAAAAGTGAATATTCTTTGTATCTGGATGTGAATGAGAAAATACACAACCCCAGGAGCTGCTAGAACCCATCTTGAGTTTGAAGAGTTTGCCTTATAATAAAACCAATATCAAAAAAGGAGGGTCTAATATGGGGAGGTACAAGCTTTTAGTGATATTGTTTGAGTCTTGGATAAAGATTCACTTGAAGCTAGAATCTGCCCTCCGCATTCCTTTATAAACCTTGCGACACATGAAACTGAGCGTGTTACCTCTCAAAAGTATTCCCACAACAGTAGTCACAAACCTGTCATAACAGTCAACATACTACATTGAAATAATTTGTTTATATGTGCATTCCCCTATACTGTGAGCCTTTGGGGCATCAGACATGTCTTGTCACCTAGGATGGTATCTGGCACATATTTAGTGCTCTATAAATCTTTGTAGAATTAACAAATGAATGGATGGATAAGAGTTGCAATAGAGGTAAATTATATTTCCAAATTTTTTTATTTATTCCTGACAAATTAATCATATTCCTGTATTTTTTTCTCTATATTTCAAAGGTAATTAGATGTCAACACTTTTTACTTTCCTTTTTCTGAAGGTTTTATAAGGAAACTATGTGCAGGATATCAATTTTTTGGAGAATGACTCCCACATTGGCTATTCTAGCTTATTCCCACAGGAATTCCTAAAACCAAGCAAATAATTTCAAATTTGTTGAGATCGCATAATTTAGTTTAGAATAAAGAGATCTTGTCACCTTTCCTCTAAAGGAAGTGTCTGCTACAGGCATTCCCTATGGGTATGTATAATTGGAAAATTAAAAAGCATATTTAAAGGCAACATTGTGCTATAAAAAATGTTGGCAATGTTCCAAGGGGGACTGTGTATGCTATTAGATATTTTTGAGAATTTACTCTGCCTGTGCTAAGAATTTTCAATAATTCCCTTCTTGGGTAAAATTAGGGCATCAGCAGAGAAGTAAACTCTCTAATATAAGCAGCAAGTTTCCATTTTTCACCATAATGTGTTCCTAAAAACTATGTTGGGAAGTAAAATGATTAAAAATAGAACTTTTTTGCTTTCATACAATTTTCGTTAAGTTTAAAACTGAAGTTATTTGTTCACATAAGCAAGTAATATTTATATACTGGTTAGGTGAGATATTGATCGTGGCTTTCTTCTGGAGCCAAGAGAGAATAAAACAACTGGACAATGTAAGATGGCTATGTCTCTCAGAAAGTAATACAGTCGAAAGCCTAGTTCAAAGTAAGAAACACATAGTAGATATAACACCACTGTTCATTCCAGAGCCTGTGGAAGGTGGGGCTATTTGCTCATGTCATTCTTTCCTGATTTATCTATATTAAACCTTAGAATCTTTCTTAATACCAAACTTGAAATGTCACTAGCATTCATTTGAAATTGTTACTAGCATTGACAGGTTTAATACCGTAGACTTAAGGTGACTGGCTTACATGCCTACAACCAGGGAAACATTTTCACCTGGTGGCAACATCTTGATTTGCAGTCATAGACCCAGGAGAAAGAATCCAACATTTTAAGTCTAATTCAGCAAAACCAGGTCTACAAATAGTGGCAAACATAACTTAAGAAATTATCTTTAAAATGATGGCTTTTACTACACTTCGTGAATTTCTAGAAGTCCCCTGCCCATGCTATCATGGGATATTTTAATAATAATCAAATTGTTATGTAGATATGCCAAATAATTCTGTTCAGGCAGACCCATTTAATTCAGCAGGAATTTGCCGATATCCTGTTCTATGCATAGTTCATTAGTGGATTATTTTAGGAGTTTGAAAAAAAACACCTGTGCTTTAAAAATTTATACTATTTTAATGTCACAAATATATATGCAGAGTTCTGCTTCCACTAATGATAGAGTAGCTTATATTGGATTCAGTTTACCGAAGACTAGAATTATAAATCAGGACAAAATATTAAAACAAAAAAACCAACTATTTAAAGATACAAGACAGTGGTCAAATGCAAGCAAAAAATGAAATTTCCTTTTGAAATAAGGAGACTACAGTAGGTGAAATTTGTGTGTATGTGACTTTGTGCATATGGACACTCACAAACCAATGGGATATCTAGAACTCAATTTTAAAGCTAAAGTCTCACTACCTTTAAGAGTCAGGGGATAAATTTCAGGGCTGAAAGTTTTTCTGAAAAGTGAGGGATGAGACCATAAGGGAGGAAGCCACATCCAGTAATTCATTTATATATATAAAACATACACACACACAAACACACACACACACACACACATCACACTACGATCACCACTGCCACATCACCAAAATTTCTTGGCTAGTCCCTGAACAGCACATGTGTGGAAAATTCCAAGGAGACTGGCAGAAAGCAGTAGGTGCAAGGCCAGAGAAACTAAGCATATCCTAGCCTCCACAGGATGTGGAGTTTGGAGTTTGAGGTTAACCAAATAGCCCAATGGATCCAAAATTAATACTCCTCAGAAGATGATAAAACTCAGAGTCTCTACAATGTATCACTCTAAATATCCATTATACAATCAAAGATTACTATCTATGTGAACAAATAGGAAAATTTTACTCATAGTCAAGAGCAATATCAAGCAAGAGAAAACAACCCTTAAATGATTCAGATGTTGGAGTTAGCAGACAATAACTTAAAAGCACTTATTATAAATATATTCCAACATGTAAAAGAAATTATTGTGATAAAAAATGAAGAGACATGGAAAATCAACAAAAAATTTAAAACCTAGCAAATAACCAAATCAAAAGTTTAGGACTAAAAAATACAATATCTGAAATAAAAATTTAACTGGATGAGCTAAACAAAATTGGTGATAAAAATATTTGGATAAATCATGGCCAAGGATTCCCCACATACAGAAAAAAAATGTAAACCTTTAGATCCTTGAAGTTCAGTGGAACAAAATGGAAATAAATTAAAAGAAAACCACATTTATGTACATCCAAGTCAAACTGGTGAAAACAAAGGATAAAAAGGAAATTTCAGGGAAGCCAGAGAACGCATTACATAGAGGCAAAATACATACAGACAGTCTATGACTTACAATGGTTAGACTTATAATTTTCCAACTTTACAATGGTATGTGAAAGCAATACACATTCAATAAAAACTTTACTTTGAATATCCATGCAACCATCCTGTTTTTCACTTTTAATACAGTATTCAATAAATTGCATGAAATAGTCAACATTTTATTATAAAACAGGCTGTGTGTTAGATGATTTTGCCCAACTATAGACTAATATAACTGTTCTGAGCACATTTAAGGTAGGCTAGGCTAATCTATAATGTTAGGTAGGGAGGTATATTAAATGCATTTCTGATGTGATATTTTATTGGGTTTATTGGGATGTAACTCCATTGAAATTTGACCATATATATATGAACACTGGCTAATGTCCCATAAGAAATAATGGAATCCAAAAAGCAGTGGAAAGAAAAAATACTATCAGCATAGAAATTATTATTTTAAAATAAAGGAAAAATAAAGACAACAAAAAGTGAGAGAACTGATTTATAGCAGATTATACTAAATTAAATGCTACAGGAAGTTATTCAGCTAAAATAAATCATAATATATAGATTCCTTCAGATCTACAAGAAGGAATAAAGAGCATCAGAAATACAAATAAATGAATACATATATTATCCATTTTTTCACTGAATTTCTTTAAAAGCCCTTGCGTATTTAAAGAAAACATTGTAACTTTTATTGTTAGGTCTACAATGTATGTACATGTAATATACATAATATTAATAGCACAAAGGATGGGGTAGGAGGTTAAATGGATCTATGCTGTCTGGAGGCTTGTGCATTTTACAAAAAAAAATGGTACAATATTAACCTACATCAACTGTGATGAGTAAAAGATACATATTATAACACCTATGGCAACCAATAAATGTAAATCCAAAGAGGTATAACTTAAAAGTTAATAGAAGTATCAGGGTTTAAATTTTGTCCCTCTAAAAGTTATATATATCTAAGTTCTAATCCCCAGTACTTCAAAATGTGAGTTTATTTGGAGATATGGTTTTTACAGAGGTAATCAAGTTAAAATGAGGTAATTTGGGTAGCTCCTAATTTAATAGGATTTGTGTCCTTTTAAATGGTAAAATTTGGAGACAGACACACACACACAGGGAGAAAGCCAGGTGAATAAGGAGATGGCCTTCTATAAGCCAAGGAAGAGAGGCTGGAACAAATTCCTCTCTCATGGTCCTCAGAAGGAACCAACTATGCCAACACCTTGATTTTAGGCTTCTACTCTTACAAGCTTGTCCAACCTGCCTTATTTTGTTGTTGTTGTTTTGTTTTGTTTTGTTTTGTTTTGTTTTAGGCTTTTAGCAGCCTAAAGCCATGGTTTTTCGTTTCTGTCTCTGGTGATTAGTGGAAAAGAGGCATGAGGAAGGGGTTTTACTAGCCCAACCAGAGACAGAAACTAAGAACCCACAACTGTATTCTCTCCCTTGGACACCCCTGCACACTGAGACAAAGACATTTCTTTTGTTTAAACTATGTATAGTGTAGTACTTTGTTACAGTAGAGATAGCAAATTAATACAAGAGGATTTAAAATAAAATTTTAACAAATATTTGATTAAAAGAAAAGGAAGTAGAAAAAGAGGAACAGGAACAACCAAAAGAGAAAAAAAAACAGGAAGGATAATGGAGAAAAAAATAATAAAAGGTTAAACATAAACCCAATCACGTCAATTAAATGTAAATAAATGAAATACCTTATGTAAAAAACAGAATGTCAGACTGAATTTAAGAAAGCAAGATCTAAATATATGCTATTTGCAAGAAATGCACATTAAACATAAAAACACAGCAAGATAGTCAGTAGAAGGATAGTGAAAGGCATTCCATGAAAGGACTAAGCATAAGAAAGGTGAATCAATGTGTTAATAAATATTACTGTATATGTTATATTAGCATCAAATTATCTTTTTAAATATTCATGTAATATAAATTTTTTATGATGAGGAAATTTACCAGAAATAACAAAGGACATTTTACAATTCTAAAAGTCTCTATTAGGAAGATGAAACAATCATAAATGTGTATTATCTAATAACAGTTTCAAAATACATGAAGTGAAAGTCTAACAGAACTAAAGGGAGTAAACAGCAGACCCACAAATTAGGTAGAAATTTTAATAGCCCTCTCAAAATAATTAAAAGAATAACTAGATAAAATTCATCAGTAGACTATAAAATAGCTAAACAACAACATCAACTGCTTTGATCCAATTGACATTTAGGGAAAAATATATACTGCAAAATGCACATACTTTAATGCCCATAGATAGTCATCAAGGTACACTATATGCTGTGTCATAAAACAGATCTGAATAAATTGCTAAGGACTGAAATTTTACAAAGCATGTTCAGTAGGGAAGCATATTTAATGCATTTCTGACTTATGATATTTTACTGGGTTTACTGGAATAAATGGCTCTACTATTCTGGGGTCTGGAAGGTGATGGCACTCTTCCCACAGCTCCACTGGGCAGTGCCCCAGTGGAGACTCTTTGTGGGGGCTCCAACCCCATATTTCTCCTTGGCACTTCTGCAGTAGAATGTCTTTGCAGTGGCACCAAACCTACAGCAGGCTTCTTCCTGGGCACCCAGCCTTTCCCATACATACTCTGAATTCTAGGTGGAAACTGCCAAGCCTCCTTTAACTCTTGCATTCTGAAGGCCTGAAGAATTAACACCACATGAAAACCACCACAGCGTAGGGCTTGTGCCCTCCAGAGTAGCAGCCTGAACTGTATCTGGGTCCCTTTGAGTCATGGCTGGAGCTCAAGCAGCAAGGGATGCAGGGAGCAGTGTGCAAGCCTGCACAGAGCAACAGGGTCCAGAGCCTGGTCCCTGACACCATTCTTTGCTCCTAGACCTCTGGGCCTGTGATGGAAAGGGCTGCCTCAAAGATCTCTGAAATGCCTTCAAGACCTTTTTCCCATTGTCTTGGCTATTAGCACTTGGCTCCCTTTTAGTCATATAAATCTTTCTAGCAAGCGGTTGCTTCCTACCCACTTCAATTCCTCTCCTTAGAATGCTCTTGCCTTCTCTACCACATGGCCAAGCTGCAAAATTTCCAAACTTTTATTCTCTGCTTCCCTTTTAAATATAAGATTCAATTTTAAGTCATTCCTTTGCTCTCATATCTGAGTGTGGACAGTTACAAGCAGCTATGCCACACCTTGAACATTTTGCTGCTAAGAAATTTCTTCTGCCAGATACTCTAGGTTATAATTCATAAGCTAAAGCTTCCACAAATCCCTAAGACATGGACACAATGCAGCTAAGTTCTTTCCTGGGGTGTAACGTGGGTGATCTTCACTCCAGGTCTCAATAACTTCCTCATTTCCATCTGAGGCTTCATCAGCCTGGCCTTCACTGTTCATATTTATATCAGCGTTTTGGTGATAATTACTTGACAAGTCTCTAAGAAGTTCCAAACTTCCCCCCATCTTCCTGTCTTCTGAGCCCTCCAAACTCTTCCTACTTCTGCCTGTTGCCCAGTTCCAAAGCTGCTTCCACATTATCAGGCATCTTCATGGCAAAACCCCACTCTCAATACCAATTTTCTGTCTTCATCCTGTTTGCATTGCTATAAAGGAAAACCTGAGACTGTGTAATTTATTATCAAAAAGAGGTTTATGCAGCTTATGGTTCCACAGAATGTGCAAACATGGCACCCATGTCTGCTCAGCTTCTGATAAGGTCTCAGGAAGCTTACAATCATGATGGAAGGTGAAAAGGGAGCAAGTATGTCACACTTCATAAAAGAGCAAGAGAGAAGGGGGAGATCCCAGATAATTTTAAACAACCAGATCTTGCGTGAACTCATCGATGAGAACTCTCTCATTACCATGAGGACAGCACCAAGTGATTCATGAGGAATCCACCCCCATGACCCAAACACCTTCCACAAAGCCCTACCCGCAACATTGGTGATCACATTTCAACATGAGTTTTGGAGGGGACAAAACGTTTAAACTATATCACAACCTTAACAAAATTTTAAGAAATTAAAACCAGCTATTTGTAAATAATTATCATTATAACCAAATGAAATTTACCTGAAACTATATCATTGATTTAAAATCTAAAATCAATCATTACATTCACCACATTATCAGAATAAGTAAAAAACAAAAACAAAATACAAAAAAGACTGTAACTATCAAAAAATCAAAAATATTTAAAAATTGATCATTTTTGGTGTCATTTGATTGAATCATTTGATACGATTCAATACTCATTGAGTTAAGAACTCTCAGCAACCTAGAAACAGAAGAGAACTTCCTCATTCTATAAAAGGCATCTGAGAAAAATCTACAGAGGACATCATACTTAATGATGAAACATTTAGTGACTTCTTACTGGGATCAAGAACAGATGTTTACTATTACTTCTGCTATTCAACATTGCACTGTGTAATCTAACTAGTGCAATAGTGCAAAACATAGATCAAAGAAACAAATATTGAAAAGATAGGAGTGAAATTATGTTTATTCACAGATAATATTGTTGTCTATATGGAAAATTCTTAGTAATCTAGGAAGCAACTATTGTAACTAATATTTGAATTTAGCAAGGTTTCAGGACACAAAATCATTAAACTAAAGAATTGCATTTCTATATTCTACCATTAAAAATTGCAAATAACACTTAAAAGACTATTACACTTAAAATAACATAAAAAATATTTTATTGTTCTTAGAAATAAATTCCACTAAAAGTGTGCAATACCTCTATACCAAAAACCACATAACATTGCTGAAAAACATTTTTAAAGACCTAAACAAACAGAATTGCAGCATGTTCATGAATCAGAATAGTCAATATTTCTAAGGTGTCAATTATTTCCCAAATCTATAAATTCAATGCAATCCCATAATCAAAGGTAGTAACTTTCTAGAAATTGTCAAACTGACACTATTATTTACATGAAAATTCAAAGGACATAGAATAGCCCAAATATTCTTGGAAAAAAAGAACAAAACTGATGGACTTTCATCATCTCACTTCAAGTCTTGGCATAAAGCTTCAATAATAAAGATAGTGAAATATTGGCTTAATGACAGTCAAATATGTCAGTGGAATAGAGTCCAGAAACAGACCAATTCTTATATGGTCAATTAATTTTCCAAAAAATGACCAAAGTTATTTAATAGCGAAAAGGGAGTCTTTCTTTAAAAATGGTGCTACAGCAACTGAATATTCACATGAAAAAAATAAAAATAAACCATGAACTCTTCTGTTAGTCTGTTTAGTGTTACTATAAGGGAATACATGAGACTGGATAATTTATAAAGAAAATAGGTTTATTTGGCTCACAGTTCTACAGGCTGTATGAGAAATAAAATGCCAGCATCTGTTTCCGAGGAGGGCCTCAGGCTGCTTCCTCTCATGATGGAAGGCAAAGGGGTAACAACATGTACAGAGATCACATGGTAAGAGAGGAGCAAGAGAGCAAGTGGAGAGACGCCAGACTGTTTTTAACAACCAGTTCTTGTGGGAATTAATAGAGTGAGAAACCACTCACCCCCTTAAGGAAAGGCATTAATCTATTGATAAGCAATCTACGCTTACAACCCAAATGCCTCTCATTAGGCCCCATTTCCAACATTGGAGCTCAAATTTCAATCTGAGATATGGAGAGGACAAATATCCAAACTATAACAACTCTATACCATAAACAAAAATTGTTTTTGAGATGAGCCATAAACCTAAATGTAAATGTTGAAAGTATAAAGTCTCTAGAATAAAACATAGAACATTATTTTTGTGGCCTGGAGTTAGACAAACATTTCTTAAATACAATACAAAAAGCAATAACCATAAAAGACAAAAATGAATACACTAGATTCATCAAAATTTAAAGTATCTGCTCATCAAAAGATCATTAAGAAAAAGAATAGGTAAGCTTCATACTGGTAGAAAATGTTTGCAATACAATATTTTTGACAAGGGTTTTATTTTCATAACATGTAAATAACTCCTACAATTCAATAGCCAGAAGACAAACAACTCTATAAAAATGAGAAAAACTTGAACAGAAAACAACCTCCCAAGGAAAAGCATAGAAATGGTCACAAGCCCATGAATAAAGCATTCAATATAATTAGCTCTCAGAAAAATGCAAGTTAAAACCATCAGAAGATGCCAGTACACACTCACTAAAAAAGCAAAAATACTCACAAGTCAATCACTGGGGGACCTGGAGCAATCAGAACTCTCATACACTACACTGAAACTGTAAAATAGTACAACCACCTTGAAAAACAGTTTGTTTCTTATTAAGTCAAACATACACCCACCCTATGATCCAGCATTTTCACACCTAGGTATTCTCCCAAAAAGAATGAAAACAAATGTCCACAAATAACTTGTTCAAGAATGTTCATAGTATATCTATTCATAATAGCAAAAAACTTGTAAGCAACCCAGATGTCCATCAACAGGAGAATTAATAAATAAGTTGTGGTATATTCATAAAAGGAGTCCTACTCAGCAATAAAAAGAAATCTATTACTGATACATACAACAGCATGGAGTTATGTCGAGCAAAAAGTCAGGCATTAAAGAGTACACATACTATGTGAGTCTATTAGAAATTCTAAAACAAACAAGACTAATCTATAGTGGAAAATTCATAAAAGTGTGGCCTTTGGGTGAAGAGGTCATTGACTGAGAAAGAATTTTCTAGGTTGACAAAAATGTTCTGTATCTTGATGGGTATTATGATCTGAATGTTGCTGTGCCCCACTCCCAAATTTATATGTTGAAATTTATTCCCCAATGCATTAATATTAGGATGGTAGGGCTTTGGGAGGTGACTAGGTCATGAGAGAAGAGCACTCATCAATGGATTATGCTCTTATAAAAGAGATTAAAGAGGGAGAGTCCTAGCCTCTTGGGACCTTTCGGCCATGTGAGAACACAGCAAGAGGTGCCATCTATGAAGCACAGTGAGCTTTCACCAGACATCAGTTCCACTGGTGCCTTGATCTTGGACTTCCCCACCTCCAGAACTGTGAGAAATAAATTCCTATTATTTATAAGTCACTCAGTCTAAGGTATTTTGTTATAGCAGCCTGAATGGACTAAGACAATAGGGATGGTGGTTACACTGGTGTATGTATCTGGAAAAACATTGAATGGTACATTTAAGATTTGTGTATTTTAATATATATAAATTTTAAATTAAACTGAAAACAAAAGCAATATTGGAAATAAAAGACAGCTTCATAGAGAAAAAGATGTAGACACATGCCACAGACATAAAAACAGAAACTATCAATACAAGAAGGAATACAAAAAAGAATTCTACATATAATTTAATAAAAATCCATCTGAAAATTAAGGTAAGGAATTGGATTTTGATACATAAGTTCCTAAAGATAAGTTTGAATATCATTTATGACAAAAGACCTCATACCATTTTTATTAGAGATATATGGGTATTTTCATTGTATATTGTATTGGAACAAATTCTAGGTATTCACATATGTATAGTCATTGCACTAAGATATTCAATAAAACGATTTATTCCAATTATATCTCGCTAATTTGCCAGCAAAAATGACTAATTTTTCAACCTGGTGCTTCCTAAGAGAGATCTAACTTGGCTGTAAATTTTTTAAATTTATTTTATTATTCTGTTGGCTGCTCCTGGACTTCACTGTGAAAGGTATTTGCTTGCAAACATATTAAAGTATGAAAAATATCCAGAGACAGTAACCTAATATATTGTCACACATTTACCTATTATCTCAAGAAATAGCATCTGCTTCAATTATGCTAATAAAATGATTCTGTGGATTCTGTATGCTATTTTCTGCTTATTGAAAATAAAAACATAGCAAACTATGTTAATTTCAAACAAACTTGCACCCAATGTCTTTCATTTTTGAAAAGAGCAGCTAGCTACTTTGTTCAATGATACAGGCAGTATCTTTCTCACTTGCTCTCACCGTTCTTCTAATGATTTCAGGGCTAAGGAAAATGTTTAGAATACTACCCAGAAAATAGCCATAAGGATATTATTACACATAGTGCATCTTGAATTGGTAAAATAACCAAAAGTTTTTCTACTTTATTAATAGAATTACCCACTTCTACATGACCAAACTTCTGCTTGACCTTGTTTTACACAGTCGTCTAATATACTATTTTCTTCACTTATATCTCCCAGACATCAGCAAAGACATCTGCAAAGGCTTGAAGCCATTCTCCTTTGCCTTAGGAAATAGGTCCGAAATGATTCAATGTGCCAGCCTGCTCTCAATGCTACAGTTATAGATGGGTCTTTTCTGTGAGCCATGCCAAGCATAAATCCAAAATCACAGGTATCACCATAGATTTTACATTACTTATACTGACTTTCTAGTGGCCATTAGGAATACCATAAAAACTAATATGCCTAAGTGGGTTTAATCTCTCAGGAAAAGCTTCTCTGCATTTTCCTGCAACAAGGCTTTCAGGCCACTTTGAGTTTAATTCAATTTAATTACTGAGTCTCCAGCTCCACAGAGATTCCTGGCTGACCCCAATAAACAGATTTTCTCAGGTTGCCTCACACCCAAGCCCTGTAGTCTCTTTGCTCACAGTTACATAAAAATTGTGTTGTTGTATAAAATCATCAATCAACCCTGAGCAAAACAAATAAATTAGAGGAGCATTCCTGGGACTGGAAAAGAATAGTGAGCCTTAGAGAGAAGAGAATTGGTTGAGTCTATTCCTGCCTCAGATTTAAACTAAAATCCATTACATCACCAGAGGTTCATTCCATTTTGGTGCCTGCCTACCTGTGCATATTACTGCACAGTAATATCTTTATAATTTTTTTAACACTAAATTTCAGCCAAGTTGAACATCTTTGGCTTCTTCTAGAATATGGTGTACTTTCTTGAATCTGTGCCTTTGTTCACACTACTCTCTCTTACAACCATTTCTCCCCACATATATCCACACACTTACCTTCCCCCATTTTGCTGAAACATTTCCTACCTACACCACATGTCTCACATTAGTTGCATTTTTTTATAATTTTTATTTTTTGTAGATACCATACATTTATGAGGTACCTGAGATGTTTTGATACAGGCATATAATGCATAATAATCACATCAGGGTGAATGGGGTATCCATCACTTCAAGCAGTTATCCTTTCTTAGTGTTACAAACAATTCAATTATACTCATTTAGTTATTTTATTTTTTTTAATTTTTGTAATTTAATTTTTAAGTTGATGGGTGCATGCGCAGGTTTGTTACAGATAAACTTGTGTCATAGGGGTTTGCTGTACAGATTATTTCATCACCTAGGTATTAAGCCTAATACCCATTAATTATTTTTCCTGATCCTTTCCCTCCTCCCAGTCACTACCCTTTGATTGGGCTCAGTGTCTGTTGTTCCTCTCTATGTGTCCATGTGTTCTCATCATTTAGCTCCCACTTATAATTGAGAACATGTAGTATTTAGGTTTCTGTTCCTGCATCAGTTGGCTAAGGATAATGGCCTCCAACTCCATCCATGTTCCTACAAAGGACATGATCTCATTCTTTTTTATGGCTGCATAGTAGTCTATGGTGTATGTGTACCACATTGTCTTTATCCAGTCTACCATTGACAGGTTTTTAGGTTGATTCCATAACTTTGCTATTATGAATAGTGCTGTAATTAACATATGTGTGCATGTCTCTATGATAGAATGACTTATATTCCTTTAGGTATATAACCAGTAATGGGATTGCTGGGTCAAATGATATTTCTGTTTTTAGGTCTTTGAGGAATCACCACACTGTTTTCCACAATGGCTTAACTAATTTACACTCCCACCAACAGAGTGTAAGTGTTCCTTTTTCTCCACAACTTCACCAGCATCTGTTATTTTTTTACTTTCAATAGCCATTCTGACTGGTGTAACATGATATCTCATTGTGGTTTTCATTTACATTTCTCTAATAATCAGTGATATTGAGCTTTATTTTATATGTCTGTTGGTCATATGTATGTCTTCTTTTGAAGTGTCTGTTCACGTCCTTTACCCACTTTTGTAATGAGCTTGTTTTTTTCTTGTAAATTTGTTTAAGTTCCTTACAGATGCCAGATATTATACCTTTATCAAATGCATAGTTTGCAAAAATGTGCCCCCATTCTGTAGGCTGTCAGTCTACTTTGCTGATAGCTTCTTTTGCTGTGCAGAAGTTCTTTAGTTTAATTAGATCCCATTTGTCAATTTTTGCTTTTGTTGCAAATATTTTGATGTCTTTTATCGTGAAATCTTTGCCCATTTCTGTGTTCAGAATAGTATTTCCTAAGTTGTCTTCTGGGGTTTTTATACTTTTGGATGTTACATTTAAGTCTCTAATCCATCTTGAGTCAATTTTTGTATATGGTGTAAGGAAGGGGTCCAGTTTCAATCTGCATATGGCTAGCCAGTTATCTCAGCACCATTTATTGAATAGGGAGTCCTTTCCCCATTGCTTGTTTTTGTCAGCTTTGTCAAAGATCAGATAGTTGTGGATGTGCAGCATTATTTCTGGGCTCTCTATTCTGTTTTGTTGGTCTATATGTCTGTTTTTGTTCCAGTACCATGCTGTTTTGTTTACTGTAGCCCTGTAGTATAGCTTGAAGTGGGGTAGTGTGATGCCTATAGCTTCGTTCTTTTTACTTAAGACTGCCTTGACTATTTGGGCTCTTTTTTGGTTTCACATGAATTTTAAAACAGTTTTCTCTAGTTATTGGTACTTCATTAGGAAGAGTATTGAATCTATAAATTGCTTTTGGCAGTGTGGCCATTTTAATGGTACTGATTCTTCCTATCCATAAGCCTGGAATGTTTTTGCATTTGTTTGTGTCTTCTCTGATTTCTTTGAGTAGTGTTTTTCAGTTCTCCTTGTAGAGATATTTCACCTCCGTGGTGAGCTGCATTTCTAAGTGTTTCACTCTTTTGAATGGTGATTGTGAATGGGATTGAATTTCTGATTTGGCTCTTGGCTTGACTGTTTTTGGTGTATAGGAATGCTAGTAATTTTTGTGTGTTGATTTTTTATCAACTTTGCTGAAGTTATTTATCAACCTAAGGAGCTTTTGGGCCCAGACTAAAAAGTTTTCTAGATATATCTGCAAACAGGGATAGTTTGATTTCTGCTCTTCCTATTTGAATACTCTTTATTTCTTTCTCTTGCCTGATTGCTCTAGCCAGAACTTTCAGTACTATATTGAATAGAAGGAGTAAGAGAGGGCATCCTTGTTTTGTGCCAATTTTCAAGGGGGAATGCTTTCAGATTTTGTTCATTCAGTATGATGTTGGTTGTGGGTTTGTTATAGATGGCGCTTATCATTTTGAGGTGTGTTCCTTCAATGACTAGTTTATTAAGAGTTTTTAACATGAAAGGGTGTTAAATTTTATCAAAAGACTTTTCTGCATCTATTGAGATAATCATGTGTTTTTTGTCTTTAGTTCTGTTTATGTGATGAATCACATTTGTTGATTTGCATATGTTGAACCAATGTTACATCCCAGGGATAAAGCCTATGTGATCGTGGTGGATAAGGTTTTTGATTTGCTGCTGGATTTGATTTGCCAGTATTTTGTTGAGGATTTTTGCATTGATGTTCATCAAGGGTATAGGTCTGAAGTTTTGTGGGGATTTCTTGCTGTGTCTCTGCCAAGTTTTGGTATCAGGATGATGCTGGTCTCATAGGAAGAGTTATAGAGGAGTCCTCCTCCTCAATTTTTTGGAAAGTTTCAGCAGGAATGGTACCAGCTCCTCTTCGTCTATGTGATCCTGAGCTTTTTTCGTTTGGTAGGCTATATATTTGGTAGGCTGATTCAATTTTGAAGCTCATTATTACTATGTTCAGGGATTCAGCTTCTTCTTGGCTCAGCCTTGGGACAGTGTAAGTGTCCAGGAATTTATTCCTTTCTTCTAGATTTTCTAGTTTATGTGCATATGGGTATTCATAATATTCCCTGATGATTATTTGTATTTCTGTTGGGTCAGTGGTAATATCCCCTTTGTAATTTCCAATAATGTTTATTTGGTTTTTCTCTTTTTTCTCATTAGTCTATCTTAACAGTCTATTTTATTAATTTTCTCAAAAACAAACTTCTGAAATTGTTGACCTTTTGAATGGTTTTTCATGTCTCAATCTCCTTCTCAGCTCTAATTTTAGTTATTTCTTTGTTTTCTGCTAGCTTTGGGATTTGTTTGCACTTGTTTCTCTAGTTCTTTTAGTTGTGATGTTAGGTTAACTTGAGATTTTTCTAATTTTTTAACGTGGGCATGTAGTGCTATAAATTACCCCTTAACACTGCCTTAGTTGCATCCCAGAGATTCTGGTATGTTGTATCTTTGTTCTTATTAGTTTCAGAGAACTTCTTGATTTTGCCTTGATTTCATTATTTACCCAAACTCATTGGGAGAAGGTTATTCAATTTCCATTTAATTGTATGGTTTTAAGTGAATTTCTTAGTTCTGATTTTTAAGACTAAGAAATTTGATTACCCTGTCGTTTGACAGAGTGCTTGTTATAATTTAAGTTCTTTTGTATTTGCTGAGTAGTATTTTATATGCAGTTATGTGATTGACCTTAGAGTATGTGCTATGTGATATTGAGAAGAATGTATATTCTATTGTTTTAGGGTAGAGAGTTCTGTAGGTGTCTATTAGGTCCATTTGATCCAGTGTTGAGTTCAGGTCCTGAATATCTTTCTTAATGTACTGCCTTGATGATCTGTCTAATACTGTCAGTTGAGTGTTAAAGTCTCCAAGTACTTTTGTATGGGAGTAAAAGTCTCTTTGAAAGTCTCTAAGAACTTGCTTTATAAATCTGGGTGCTCCTGTGTTGAGTGCATATTTAGTTAGGATACTTAGGTCTTCTTGTTGAATTAAACTCTTTACCATTATGAAATGCCCTACTTTGTCTTTTTTTATCTTTGTTGGCTTAAAGTCTGTCTTATCTGAAATTGAGATTGCAAACTCCGTTTTTTCTGTTTTCCATTTGGTTGATAGACTTTTCTCCCGTTATTTTGAACCTATAGGTGTCACTGCACATAAGATCGGTCTCTTGAAGACAGTATATCAATAGATCTTGGTTCTTTATCCAGCTTGCCACACTGCACCTTATAATTGGGGCATTTAGCCTAGTTGTATTTGAGGTTAGTATTGATATGTGTGTATTTGATCCTGTAATCATGATGTTAGCTAGTTATTATGCAGAATTGTTGTGTGGTTGCTTTATAGCGTCACTGGCCTCCGTACTTAAGTGTGTTTTTGTAGTGGCTGGTAATGATCTTTCTTTTCTATATTTAGTGCTTCCTTCAAGAGCTTTTGTAAGGCAGGTCTGGTTATAATGAATTCCTTCAGCATTTACTTGTCTGAAAAAGGATCTTACTTCTCCTTTGCCTATGTTTGGTCTGGCTGGATATGAAATTCTTGGTTGTAATTTCTTTCTTTAAAGAATGTTGAATATTGGCCCCCAGTATCTTCTGGCTTGTAGGGTTTCTGCTGAGAGACCTGCTATTGTTCTGATGGGCATCCCTTTGTAGGTGACCTGCCCTTTCTCTCTAGCTGCCTTTAACATTTTTTCATTCATTTCGACCTTGGAGAATCTGAAGATTATATGTATTGAGGATAATCTTCTCGTGAAGTATCTTACTGGGGTTCTCTGAATTTCCTGAACTTGAATATTGACTTTTCTAGCTAGGTTGGGGAAATTCTCATGGATGATATACTGAAAGATTTTGTTTCTTATGAAGGTGTGTTTTTTTTTTTTCTATGTAAATAGTTGTTAAATTGGTGTGCTTGTGGAGGGGATAATTGGTGGAGACTTCTATTCTGTCATCTTGCTCCAACTCTCCTCATTTACTTATTTTAAAATTTACAATCAATAATTGTTGATTGTATTCACCCTCTTATGCTACCAAATACTAGAGGTTTTAAGTTCTACCTAAATATATATGCTTTTATCCATTAATTATCTCCGTTTTCCTCTACTACCTTTCCCAGCCTCTGGTAACCATCATTCTACTCTCCATCTCCATGAGTTCAATTATTTTAATTTTAGCTCCCACGAATAAGTAAGATCATGTGAAGTTTGTCTTTCTGTGCCTGGCTCATTTCACTTAACACAATGACCTACAGTTCTATTCATGTTGTGCAAATGTCAGGATCTCATTCATTTTTATGGCTGAATAGTACACCATTGTGTGTGTGTGTGTGTGTGTGTGTGTGTGTGTGTGTATTATATATCACATTTTCTTTATCTGTTTGTCTGTTGATGGACATTTAGGCTGCTTCCAAATCTTGGCTACTGTGAATAGTGCTACAATAAACATGGGAGTGTAGATATCTCTTTAATGTACTGATTTTCTTGCTTTTGAGTATATACCTAGCAGTGAGACTGCTGGATCATACGATAGCTATATTTTTAGTTTTTTGAGAAACCACCAAATTGTTTTCCACAGTGGTTGTACTAATTTACATTCCTACCAACAGTGTATGAAGATTTCTTTTTCTCCACATCCTCACCAGCATTTGTTATTTCCTGTTATTTGGATATAAGCCATTTTAACTGGGGTGTTCTTGGTACCTTTGTCAAAAATAAGTTCACTGTAGGGGTGTGGATTGGTTTCTGGTCCCTTATTCTCTTCCATTGTACTATGCATCTGTTTTTATGCCAGTATCATGCTTTTTTCGTTACTATACCTCTATAGTATAATTTAAAGTAAGGTAATGGGACTCCCCCAGTTTTATTCTTTTTGCTCAAGAAAGCTTTGGCTATTCTAAATCTTTTGTGGTTTCATATAAATCTTAAGATTGCGTTTTTTCATCTCAGTATAAAAATGTCATTGGCATTTCGATAGGGACTACATTGACTCTGTAGGTTGTTTCAGGCAGTATGGACATTTTAACAATATTGATTCTTCCAATCCGTGAACATTAAATATCTTTCCTTTTGGTGCATTTGCTTCCATTTCTTTAATCAATGTTTTACAGTTTTTGTTGGAAAGATCTTTCACTTCTTCAGTGAAGTTTAGTTCTAGCCATTTTATTTTATTTGTACCTATTGTAAACAGGATTACTTCCTTGGTTTCTTTTCCAGATTGTTCACTTTTGCCATATGAAAATGTTGATAATTTTCTATGTTGATTTTGTATCCTGCAACTTTACTGAATTTATCAGTTCTAATAGTTTTTTTGAGTCTTTATGTTTTTCCAATTATAAGATTATATCATCTGCAAACAAGAATATTTTGACTTCTTTATTTCCAATATAGTTGCCCTTTTTTTTTTCCTTTGTCTGATTGCTCCAGCTAGGACTTCAAATACTATACTGAAGAGCAATGGTGAAAGTGGACATCTTTGTGTTCCAGATCTTAGAGAAAAAGATTTCAGTCTTTCCCTATTCAGTAATACTAACTGTGGGTCTGCCAAATATGGTTTTTATTTAGTTGAGATACAGTCCTTTTATATCAAGTTTTTTTAGGGTTTTTATCATGTAGGAATATTGAACTTTATCAAATGCTTTTTCAGCCTCAATTGAAATGATTATATGGTGTTTATCCTTCATTCTGTTGATGTGATATATCACATTGATTGATTTGAGCATGTTGAAACATCATTGCATTCCAGGGATAAATCCCACTTGGTTATAATGAATGATCTTTTTTTTTCTTTTTGAGACAGGGTCTTACTCTGTTACCCAGACTGGAGTGCCACACACAATTACAGCTCACTGAAGCTTCAACCTTTTGAGCTCAAGTGATCCTCCTTCCTCAGCCTCCTACGTAGCTAGTAGCAAAGGCACATATCACCATGCCCAGCTATTTTTTGTTTGTTTGTTTGTTTAGTAGAAGCAGGGTCTCAGTTTGTTGCTCAGGCTGGTCTTGAACTCCTGCACTCAAGCAATCTTCTAACCTTGGACTCTGAAAATGCTAGGACTACAGTCATGAGCCACCATGCCTGGCCAAATGATTTTTCTAATGGGTTGTTGAATTCAGTTTGCTAACATTTTCTTGAGAACTTTTGCATCAATGTTCATCAGGAAAATTTGCCTGTAGTTTTGTTTTGTTTTGTTGGTTTTTTTTTTTTTTGAGACAGAGTCTCACTCTGTCACCCAGGCTGGAGTGCAGTGGCACAATCTTGGCTCACTGCAAGCTCCGCCTCCCGGATTCATGCCGTTCTCCTGCCTCAGCCTCCCGAGCAGCTGGGACTACAGGCGCCCGCCACCACGCCTGGCTAATTTTTTCTATTTTTTAGTAGAGACTGTGTTTCACCGTGTTAGCCAGGATGGTCTTGATCTCCTGACCTCGTGATCCACCCTCCTCAGCCTCCCAAAGTGCTGGGATTACAAAGTGTGAGCCACCTGCCTGGCCTGTTTTGTTTTATTTTGTTTGTTTGTTTTTTGATGTGTCTTTGGTTCTGGTATCAGGGTAATACTGGCCTCATAGAATTAGTTTGGAAGTATTCCCTCTTCCTCTATTTATCAGAAGTTTGAGTAAGACTGCTGTTAGTTCTTCTTTAAATATTTAGTAAAATTCAGCAGTGAAGCCATTAGGTCTGAGCTTTTCTTTGCTGAGAGGCTTTTTGTTATGGCTTTAATCTAATTACTTCTTATTTGTTCACATTTTGGACATTTTTGTGGTAAAATCCTGATAGGCTTTATATAGGAATTTATCCATTTTTTCTAGGTTTTCCAATTTATTGGCATATAGTTCTTCATAGTAGCCTCTAATAAAATTTCTGTAGTAACAGTTTTAGTGTCTCTTTTTTATCCCTGATTTTATTTGGGTCTTTTCTTGTTTTTTTCTTAGTATACTAAAGGTTTGTCAGTTTTAATTATCTTTCCAAAAATCCAGCTTTTGTTTTATTGATCATTTGTATTGGTTTCTCTATTTCAATTTGAGTTATTTTCTGCTCTGATCTCGTGTTATTTTTTTTCTTTTACAAATTTTGGGTTTAGTTTGCTCTTGATTTTCTAGTTCTTTAAGATCCAACATTAAGTTTTTTATTTGACATTTTTCTACTTTTTTGATGTAGGTGCTTTAGCTATAAACTTCCCTCTTAGTGCTGCTTTCATTGTATCCATTGGTTTTGGTATGTTATGTTTCACTGTCATTTGTTTCAAGAGCATATTGTTTAATTTCAGTGTGTTTATGTAATTTCCCAAATTTCTCTTGTTATTAATTTGTAGTTTTATTCCATTGTGTTCAGAGAATATACTTGAAATAGTTTTAATGTTTTTAAAATTTTAAGACTTATTTTGTGGCCCAACATATGGTATCTCCTTGAGAATGACCCATGCAACGAAGAGAAGAATATATATTCTTCAGCCATTGGATGAAATGTTTTATAAAAACCTATTAGGTCCATTTGGTCTATAGTGCTCATAAACTCTAGTGTTTCTTTGTTGATTTTCTATCTCAATGGTGTGGCCAGTGCTGAAAGTGGCCAGCTATTATTGTATTGGGGTGTATCTGTCTCTTAGCTCTAACAGTAATTGCTTTATATATCTTGGCACTCCATTGTTGAGCACATATATATTTATAATTATAAAATCCCCTTGGTGAATTGACTCTTTTGTCTTTATATAATGACTTTATTTTTTGCTTTGATGGGTTTTTTCTTGAAATCTATTTTGTCTGATATAAATATCACTACTCCTGCTCTTTTTCATTTTCCATTTGCATGGAATGTCTTTTTCCATTCCTTTATTTTTAGTCTTTGTATGTCTTTGTAGGGGAAATGTGTTTCTTGTATGGAACAGATCATTGCGCTCGGTTTTTTTTTTTTTTTTTAATTTTATCCATTCAGCCACTCTGTGTCTTTTGATTGGAGAGTTTAGTCCATTTATATTCAATGTTATTATTGATAAATAAGGACTCACTCCTGTCATTTTGCTATGCATTTCCTGGTTATTTTGTGGTCTTATCTTGTTTCCTTCCTTCCTATCTTTGTTTTAGTGAAGGTGATTTTCTCTGGCGGTGTGTTTTAATTTCTTGCTTTTTTTGTAGCTGTTGTATGTTTTTAGATTTGAGGTTACCATAAGGCTTGCAATACTATCTTATAACCCATTATTTTAAACTGATGATGACTTAAAACTGATTACATAAACAAACATGCAAAATGAAAACTAATAAATACTCTACACTTTAACCTTATCCTCTCACTTTTTAACTTTTTATTGTTTCTGTTTATGTCTGGTCCTGTCTATATCTTGAAAAGTTGTAGTTATTATCTTCATTGGTTCATCTTTTAGTCTTTCTACTCAAAATATGAGTAGTTTACACACCACAATTATAATGTATACTATTCTGTGTTTTTCTGTTTACTATTACCAGTGAGTTTTTACTTCAGATGATTTTTTATTGCTCATTAACATCCTTTTCTTTCAGACTGAAGAACTTCCTTTAGCTTATCTTGGAGGATACGTCTGATGTTGATAAGATCCCTCCATTTTTGTTTGTCTGGGAAAGTCTTTATTTATCCTTCATGTTAGAAGGATATTTTTACTGAATATGCTATTCTAGGGTGAACATTCTTCACCTTCAGCACTTGAAATATGTCATGCCATTCTCTCTTGCCCTGTAAGGTTTCCACTGAAAAGTCTGCTGCTAGACATATTGGCGCTCATTGTATGTTATTTGTTTATCTTGCTGCTTTTGGGATACTTTCTTTATCCTTAAACTTTGGGAGTTTGATTATTACATGTCACAAAGTAGTTTTATTTGGGTTAAAGCTGCCTGGTGTTTCACAACCCTCTTGTACTTGAATACCAATACCATTTTCTAGGTTTGAGAAGTTATCTTATTATTCCTTTGAATACAGTTTCCACACCTATCTCTTTCTCTTACCTCCACTCTAAGATCAGTAACTCTTAGATTTGCCCTTTTGAGGCTATTTTTTTAGATCTTGTTCATGTGCTTCATTGTTTTTTTTTTCTTTTGTCTCCTCTGTGTATTTTCAAATAGGCTGTCTTCAAGCTCACTGTTTCTTTCTTCTGCTTGATCAATTTTGCTATTAAAGGACTCTGATGCACTATTCAGTATTGAAATTGCATTTTTCCACTCCAGAATTTCACTTGGTTCTTCCAAATTATTATAATCTCTTTGTTAAATTTAGCTAATATGATTACAAATTCCTTCTCTGTGTTATCTTGAATTTTGTTGTGTTTCCTTAATATAGTTATTTTGAATTCTCTGTCTGAAACATCACCTGTCTCTGTCTCTCCAGAGCTGGATCCCCTAAATAAGGTACCAGAACTGGTACCTTATTTAGTTTATTTGATGAGTTCATGTTTTCCTGGGTGGTCTTGATGCTTGTGGATGTTTGCCAGTGTCTAGGCATTGAAGAGTTAAGTATTTATTGTAGTCTTCAGAGTTAGGCCTTTTTGTACCTGTTCTTCTTGGAATATTTGGAAAAAAAGATTTTCCAAATATTCAGAGGAACTTGGGTGTTTTAATCTAAGTTTTGGTATCTGCAGTCATATCTGTATTATAGGGTACACCAAGCTCAGTAATGCTGTGGCTCTTGCAGACTTGTAGAGTTACCACCTTGGTGGTCTTAAATAACTTCCAGAATAATTCTCTGAATTACTAGACAGAGAATCTTGTTATCTTCCATTACTTGTCTCCAAACAAATTGAGTCAGTCTCTCTCTCTCCCTCTCTCTCTCTCTCTCTCTCTCTCTCTCTGTGCTGAGCTGTCTGGAGCTGGGTAAGGGATGACACAAGCACCCCGGTGATTACTGTGGCTGGGACTGGGTCTGACTTGAAGCTAGCACAGTACTGGTTGTCACCACTGCCTGGCTACTGCCTATGTTCATTCAAGGTCCTAGGGTTCTACAATTAGCATGTGACAAAGCCAGCCAGGCTTATGTCCTTCCCTTCAGGGCAGTGAGTTCTCCTGATCTCAGATGGATCCAGAAATGCCATCCAGGAGCCAGGGCCTGGAATCAGAAACCTTAGGAATCTATCTAGTGCTCTATTCTACTGCATCCCAGCTGGCACCCAAGCCACTGGACAAAGGCCTTCCAACTATTCCCTCCACTTCAAGGAGGAGAGGAGTCTCTGCCAATAGCCATCACTGCCCCAGGGCCATGGCAAATATTGCCTGGCTAGCCAATGTTCACGCAATGTCCAAGGGTTCTTTAGTCAGCTTATGGTGAATGCTGCCAGACCTGGGGCTCTCTCTTCATGGAAGTAGGCTCTCTTTGGCCCAAGGCAGATCCAGAAATGCCATCCAAGACTCAAGTCCTGGAACAGGGGACCCCAAGAGACTGCTTGGTGCTCTACCCCACTGTGGCCAACCTGGTACCTAAGCTGCAAAACAAATTCCCCTTCACTCTTCCCTCTCCTTTCCTCAAGCAGAAGAAGTCTCCTCTATGTAGCCACCACTACAGGGAACACGCTGGGTCACACCTGAAGCTAGCACATCTCTGAGTCTCACCTAAGGCCCATGGTGAGTACTGCCTGGGTATCACTGCTGGTTATTTGGTGCTCAAGGAACTCTTTAGTCAGCAGGTGATGGATTCTTCCATGTCTGGGTCCTTCCCTTCAAGGCAGGAGGTTCCCTTCTGGCCCAGGGTATGTCTAGAAATGTCATCCAGGAGCTGGGTCCTGAAGTGGAGGCTTCATGACTCTTCCAGTACCCTATCCTATTGTGGCTGAGCTGGTATGTAAGTTGCAAGGCAAAGTCCTCTTTAGTCTTCCCTCTCATCTCTTCAAGTGGAGAGGTATCTGTACCAGAGCTGTGAGCTGTGCTACCTGGGGCTATGGGAGGGCTGGAGCAAACACTCCCTTGGCCACTCCAGATGGTGTCTCACTAGGTCATGTGTCCCTCAAGTCCACTGGCTCAGAGCCCAGCACAACATCAGAACTTGCCCAAAACTTTTAGTCCTTCTGGCCTAGATTGCCTTACAAGTTTACTTAGGACCCCAGAGCCCTTAAGCCTACAGTAGTGGGGCTTGCCAGAACTCAGATTCCAGCCACTGGGATAGGCAATTCCCCTCTGGCTAGAGCTGTTCTAAATGCTCCCTCAGTGGGTGCCAGCTGAATTCTGCCAAATGTTGCTTTCTGCTGTGACAAGACAGCACTGACTTTCAATGCATAGTCCCACAAATCCTGTACTCTCCCTCCCTGAAGCACACAGATCCTTTCTCCGCACTATGTGGCTGCTGCTGGGAGCTGAGGGGGTGGGGGGTGGTATTAGCAATTTAAGACTGTCTTTCCTGCCCTCTTCAGTACCTCTTTCCGTGATATGAAGTTAAAACCAGGTACTATGATCACTCATCTGATTTTTGGTTCTTATGAAGGTGCTTTCTTACGTGGATAGTTGTTCAGTTTGGTGTTCCAGCAGGAAGGATAATTAGTGAAAGCTTCTCGTCAACCATTTTACTCCTCCTTCTCTCTAGTTGCAATTTTTCAAATAATTATTCCCGAATGCCCCCAGATTCTCCTTAAGTGACATTTCTAGGGGTTTCCATAGTCCCTCTACTCCTCCAAGAATTAATAAATAAATGAAGCCCCAGGAGGAAAAAAAAGAGAAAATACAAAATATTATATATATATATACAGTAAACATGAAATAGAACTATTATAATCTAAGGTCAGCTTATAATATTATAGAAACAGGATGAATCCATGCTAACAAAGTTAGGTCTGTTCTACAGAGTTTAAAAATTGAGAGATATCAAATAAAAATACTGATTTCTGGCTTCTCTTTAAAAAGATTTCTGGAAATACTATACCTATGTTTTAACATGCCAAAAATTGTCTGGGGCTGGGGAGCAGTTAATCCCTTTGAGAGAGTCTGTGGGCTCCAGTTCACCACTCCTGGTCACTGCCTGCAACACTTATATGTGTTGCCTACTGGACCTCTGTCAGCGTGTTGAACTTACAGCCTTGTATAGACCAAGGTTGAAACTTTAAACTCTATGTTTATGTTGACAACATGAGGCCAAAGATGAAACAAAAAGGAAGAAGGATTTGTGTTCTGAGATTTTTAAAAGCAGAAGAAAAATAAGAATATGACAAAGAGTATATATCCAGTTTTTCTGTTTCAGTAGCTTTAGTTAAGTCTAGTTTGCAAATGGTTTTGTCATGATCCGATAGGAAAGGAATGTGAAATGGTTAATAATATGCATTAAATTAAAACTCTCTGTTTATCTAGGTAGCCTGGTACCTGAATACAGATGGTAACTGAATAACAATGTCATAGAGTTAAATTTTCAATGCGAAGCCATCATTCAAATATGTGCTTCAGGTGCTACAGTTTGATGCCCTACACTGCCCTGTCAACAAAATGGGTGGTTCCTTTATGCTCAGGCAAATAGGAACACATGAGCCCTGTGTGGAAATCCAAAAGGAATGGTCCATAAGAAAGCAATTCCTGTATTTTATCATAGACTGTTGTCCCTTTCAAAGCCAGGGTATTATTTAGTGTATGATCTCATCTCTGGAGACTAGTAAAAATATATTATTTCTAGTAAATGCAAATTTTTACTTTAGTATTATGAGAAAATGGGGACACTTTAGACCATAAAAAGGGACACTTTAGACCATTTTATGCTTTGGGGAAAAAGACTTTTAAACATGACATGTCATCCAAAAAATAAATAGCTTCATAAAACTGCCCCAGGGAAGATGAAAAAGTTGTAAGAATAAAAATCTTCTGAGACATTAAATGACCCACAAAATGCAATTATTGACAATAAAATTTTGTTCTTCATAATACTTACAGAACCTCTAAAATATCCCTTTTAATATAGGTGAACAAAGCTACTACCACATCATATTAGTTTCCTATTGCCACTGTTAACAAATTACCAGAAAGTTCATGGCTTAAAACAACACACATTTATTATCTTACAAACTCTGGAGGTCAGAAGTCCTAAAATTGAGGTGTTTTCAGGGCTGTGTTCCTTCTGGATGCTCCAGAGGAAAATCCATTATCTTCTTCCACCCAGCTGCTAGGGGCCATTTACATGCCTTAGCTCATGGCCTCTTCTTCCATCTTCAAAGCCAGCACTGTAGCATCTTCAAATCTCTCTATGACTCTGACCCTCCCCCATCCCTCTTATAGTGGCTTGTAGTTACATTGGGCACCTCCTAAGATAATCCCAGATAACATCTCATCTCAAAGTTCTCAATTTAATTTCATCTGAAAAGTCCCTTTTGTCATTGAAGGTAACATATTCACAGGTTCTGGGGGTTAGGAAATTGACATCTTTAGACAGCCATTACTCTGCTTACAAGACACATTGGTCTTGATTTGACTTGGAACATACACCATGACAGCAAGGAAGGTAATGAGAGTAAACAAAGTGCATTTAGGTAACTCTCAAAGTTGTTTCGGACAAAACTGAATCACATAAAAACAGAACATTCTATTTTGCTGCAATTTTTTACCTTTAATCTACTAATTTATATTTGAAATAACTGTTTTTAGAAATATCTTTCTTTGAATGTTGCAGATGTGAATGAGATATAATGAAAAGAATGAATGCACACTTATTGATCATTGTACTAAGGTCATTGAACAACAAAATCTCATCAAATAGTTAAGTATTTTAAATAATATAAAACACATGGAAGCTTTACCCAAGGAGAGACAGTGATCTTATTTAATATTCTGTGTGGCTAAATGAAACCTTGATGAGAAAAGGGGGCCTTCAGATATAGTAAAGGTTGCACTGTGTGTGTGTGTGTGTGTGGGTGTGGTGTGTACGCATGCGTAGTAACATAACATTCAGTAAGCATGCACCATGTTCCAGGAACTTTTCTTAGCACTCTGTAGGTATTACTTGTTTAACCCTCACCATAACCCAGTAGAGCAATTCCTACAATTATCCTTTTACAGGTAATTACATTGAGGCACAAAGAAATGACCTACCCCAAATTTCAAACCTAGTAAGCAATAAAGCTTGGATTTAAACCCAGGTGTTCTGCCTTCAGAACCAAAAATTAGAAAAGCCTAAAAGTTTCTTTTATCTGTTTTAAGGAAAGAACTTTCCAGAAGGAAAGAACTAGAGGAAAGGTAGAACACATTGTGGAAGTTCTCTATGCAGATCAACAAGGTATACAGACTTTTACTAATTTTCTTCATATGAACCCACAAACCCAGAAGCAAGCATTATTATCTAGATTTGGAGCTCTTCTACTTTGAAATTGATAGAGTTGGACATGCACAGATTAATAATAATAATATTTTCTACATTTGCTGTTGAAACACAGATAAATGAGGAATGATCCTAGAAAAAACTTTACAGATGCACACACATGCACACACACACACACACACACACAGACACAGCACAGGGACCCCAAGGTCACTGTCTTATTGAACTACATAGCATGTTAAACACAATTACTACCTTTTCTTGGGCAAAGTCTCCATTTTTCCATATTATTTAAAATGCTTATGTATATGATGAGATTATGTTGGTCAAACAGCATAGGACAATGTTCAGTAAGTGTTTGTTCATTTTTAAAATTTTATCTCATTCACGTATGGAAGGTTCAAAGAAAGATGTTTCTGAGAGGAGTTATTAAACATTTAAAAAGTAAAAGTAAAACGAAACAATTTATGTTTGAGAAAAAAATGTTGTCTATGAAATGCTTCCCACTAAAACCATTTGTTTCCTGTTTTCCCTCTTATCTCAAGGATCCCATGACCGAGACACCTCATGCCTTCCAGAAGCTGAAGGTGAAAGCTCACTAAGATTAAACAACTGGGAAATGTTAAATGAAAAAGTATCACAGCTGAGACAAAGCTCCTCAGCCTCAGCATGTTTGTCAGTGTGCCCAACTGATGTAGTTTGGCTCTGTGCCCCCATCCAATTCTCATCTTGAATTGTAATCCTTATAATCTCCACATGTCAAGGGAGGGACGTGGTGGGAGGTGATTGGATCATGGGGGACATTTCCCTCATGCTGTTCTCATGATAGTGAGTGAGTTGTCATGAGTTTTGATGGTTTCATGTGTTTGACAGTTCCTCCTTCACACACTCTCTCTCTTCTGCCACCTTATGAAGAAGGTGCCTGCTTCCCCTTCACATTCCATCATGATTCTAAGTTTCCTGAGCTCCCCCCCAGCCATGTGGAACTGTGAGCCAACTGAACTTCTTTCCTTTATAAATTACCCAGTCTCAGGCATTTATAATAGTGTGTAGGCTGGGCATGGGGGCTCACGCCTGTAATCCCAGCACTTTGGGAGGCCAAGGCGGGTTGATCACAAGGTCAGGAGATTGAGACCATCCTGGCTAATATGGTAAAACCCCGTCTCTACTAAGAATACAAAAAAATTAGCCGGGCGTGGTGGCGGGCGCCTGTAGTCCCAGCTACTGGGAAGACTGAGGGAGGAAAATGGCGTGAACCCGGGAGGCAGAGCTTGCAATGAGCTGAGATCGGGCCACTGCACTCCAGCCTGGGTGACAGAGCGAGACTCCACTTAAAAAAAAAAATAGTGTGTAAACGGACGAATAAACCATCTATCACTTTTCACACAAACTTTCCTACCTGTACTTTGTATCCAAACCTTTGCCTTTTTAATCTCCTGAAAGAATAAGGAATTGTTGTTTCCAATAGAGTGGCTTCTTCATACAATTTTTATGATTAAAACTGATATTCTACAGTTGGTTATTGATAGCCCCATACCTTTCTGTCTAAGGCAAAGGATGAACACATGGATGCATATCCATATGTAAGTGCC
The DNA here is from genome assembly GCF_000001405.40 of Homo sapiens. Classification (NCBI taxonomy): domain Eukaryota; kingdom Metazoa; phylum Chordata; class Mammalia; order Primates; family Hominidae; genus Homo; species Homo sapiens. Next base: position 90,531,659 of record NC_000010.11, read on the forward strand.
CAATGAGTTCACCTTGCCCATTGCCTAGACAGAGCCCATTTATCAAGACAGGGGAATTGCAATGGAGAAAGAGTAATTCACACAGAGCAGGCTGTGTGGGAGATGGGGAGTTTTATCGTTACTCAAATCAGTCTCCCTGAGCATGCACGGATCAGAGTTTTTAAAGATAATTTGGCAGGTAGGGGCTTGGGAAGTGGAGAGTGCTGATTGGTCAGGTTGGAGATGGAATCACAGGGGGTCGAAGTTAGGTTTTCTTAATGTTTTCTGTTCCTGGGTGCAATAGCAGAACTCCTTGGGCCAAATTACCGGTCTAGGTGGTGTCAGCTGATCCATCAAGTGTAAGGTCTGCAAAATATCTCAAGCACTGATCTTAGGTTTTACAATAGTGATGTTATCCCCAGGAGAAATTTGGGGATGTTCAGACTGTTGGAGCCAGAGGCTGCAAGACCCCTAAATTGTAATTTCTACTCTTGTAGCTAATTTGTTAGTCCTGCAAAGGCAGACTGGACCCCAGGCAAGAAGGGGGTCTTTTCGGGAAAGGGCTGTTATCAGTTTTGTTCAGAATCAAACCATGAACTGAATTCCTTCCCAAAGTTAATTCAGCCTACACTCAGGAATGAACAAGGACAGTTTAAGGATTACAAGCAAGATGGAGTCGGTTAGGTGTGATCTCTCTCACTGTCATAATTTCCTCAGTTATAATTTTGCAATGGCGGCTTCACATACACAAACATACACACAATGTCAAGAAAAAACAATACAGAAAGAAAAGCTCACCTCAACAGGCCCAAATTTCAGTAACATAAAACTCATATTATCTAACAGAATAAATATAAAAATTCATGTAACATTTCTTACATTATAGGGCAACATTTGAAACTGGAAGATGTTTTAGAGACTATCTTGACCACCCCTTGAATTTTCTTGTTGAGGAACTTGAAGTTTAGAGGGGAAAAATGTTTTCAAAAGAGTCGGGATAATGTTAGCCTGTGTCAGCACTAACATCTGACTAACAAGTCAGATTGCTGACACTGGCCCATGCTCACACCTTAATAATAATGACAATTTAATGACAATGGGACTAATTACTAATAAATTTGAGTATTTTCTATGTGCTAGGCACTTCACATGCATTAGCTCATTTATATTTTCCAAATCTCTTGTGAGTTAGATTTTATTAGCATACCTACTTTAAAGGTGAAGGAACTGCAGCTCAGAAAGTTAAACTTCACTAAGGCTGCATGTTTAGTTGATGGCAAAGCTGAGTTTAGAAGCCAAACTGACCGTAAAATCTGGGTTCTTAACGACTATGCAGTATATAAACACCCTTTTCATGTATAAACATGAAAAGATGCTAATGCCTACACAACACAACCACAAACACATACACACACTTACAGAAATCACTAAAAATAGGAGATTCTTGGCTACTTTTTTTCTAATTTTTAGTAAAGTGTTATTTTAATTTAGTTCCCTTAGGACATTTTTATGACCTTTTAATTCTTGTCTCCTTAAGCTTTTACCGACATCTAAGAAAGAATACCATTTCACTGGCTGGAACCACTATCTTTTTAATTAGTACAGGTGGCAAACCAGATTACGATGCTAGTTAGCAACAACAGCTACATTATCTTTACATTAGTGCACTTTCATTGCAGTTTAGCTCTTTTAAAATCTCAGAATTGCTGTCTCAGTTAATATTTTTTATCTAAGCAGTCACGACAGTTATCAAATCCATCTCACTAGATTAAAACTTTGCAAGTTTTATAATTGATACATTACTATAAATAGGAAAATCAAATGCTTTAGGGGTAGATCCTGAAAGACAAAAAAATTTTCTAGAAAGCACAATTTCTGATCCTGAAGAAAAATGTATATCTTACTGTTTTTCTATATTTATGTCTTCTAAGCCATGTTTGTTGGAATAGAAAGGAAACTACTATGAGACAGAGGCTTTGTATAATCATTTCTTTTCATTCTTCCAACAGTGTTACCAGGTAAGTATTATTACCCACATTTGCCAGGTAGTTTGTGGGAAATAGAGGCTCAGAGAGAATAAGTAAGTTGCCAACTTAGTAAATGGTGAATCTAGATTTGAATCCAGATTTTCTCTGACCTAAATGCTCATTTCACTCTAACACACTACAGCCAGGAGAGAACCCACTTCAGTATGAGTGTTACAGTTCATGTCTGTTCAGAGTGCATATTAGTGGCTGTAGCTTTCATTGAATCTGTATAAATCCCATTCCCCAATATCAGTCTCCAAAGAAATATCTGAACTCCAGAAATCCTAACAAGTGGTAGAGGTGGGGAGGAGGTGCAGGAGGTCATGAGTAGAATGCCAAAAAGCCTTTAATCTAAGGCAATTTCACATATAAGCTTCAGACAAAGCTAAAAGCATCTCTAATCTTAAAGGCACTTACAAAAGGTCATTTTAAAGTTGTCAGTTTCCTGTTTGTGAGGTCCTCAGAAATAAGAATTCATCAGTGGTGACCATGACAACAAACCTTCTTCCCATCAAAGCCTCCCCACACCTCTGCTCAGCGATTAGCCGAGTAGAAAGGAGATACGGACTTACCATATTTCTAAAGATCAGTCTTTCAGACTAGCTTTGGTTTGAAATTTTAAGGACTATATGAATTTCTAATTATAGACTTTTTAAGTAAATCATTGTTAAGGCTTAACAGGCACAAATTACTCACATCTTTATGACAAAGGAATTCCAAGTAACAAATCATTTTTAAGTCATCATAAAGCTAAGTGTATTCAAAATTACATTTGCTTAAGGAAAACAATTTAATTCAAGCGAGGTATTTTGACATGGAGATTTTTGTCCTTTGGATATGTACATCTGTAATTACAAATATTTAAATAAGCTTTCATGACCATTATGTCCATCTCCTAAAACCATGAAAAGGACACTCATGAAGGGAAACATGTCTTGCTCACAGTAGAAAGTACAGGAGAAACTGCTTGTTCCTCCTTGATTCCAGTTATTTGCCTGAGCCTTCTTAGCTATCTATATCTATGTCCTCAGCCTCCACCCACCAGCTCAATTTGGAATGAGATCACTGAAAGGTTCATCTTCACTTTGAAGTGGAGCCCATACCAACTGCCATATGAGTCCCCAGGCCCACGTGTCCACATTTCTCCTAAGCACCATCTTTCAACTCTGGGCTCTTTTTAATCTCTTGAAGAGCAATTTAAAAAATACATATTAGCTGTTGAAATATATATTTGTCATAACAATTCTATTTTATAGATTTCTCCTAAGAAAATATTCGGTGATGACTATATTCAAAGATGTAATTACAAGGATGCTCCTCTGTGGGTTATTTTTAATTTCCAACAATAAGTGATGGTTTAATCATTCAAAATGAGTTTGTTTAATCATTCAAAATGAGGTTGTAGATGTCCATGGCATAATGTCATTGAAAACCACAGTTTAAAAGAGTATACTTGATCCCATCTTTGTGAACGTACACAGCTATACACGAGCACACACAGGCACACACACAACATATCAACAATGTACATCATGGGAATATAGATGTATTCCATATTTTTCTTTTTTTCATATGTAGTTTTTATTGTTTTCTATGATAAATTTTGTAATAAACAATGATTCATTTTTAATGTTTTTAGTTCTGTATAAAAGATGAAAGAAAGAGCATAGAAACAAGAATAAAAATGAGATGAATGAAACATTTCACCTCCTCCAGGCCATTCTCAAATGCCACCTAACTGATGCCGTCTGTTTAAAATTACAACCTCCACCCTTGACAAGTCTACTCCTTACTTTATTTATCTCCATAGCACTTTCTGCCATCTATTATATCATATATTTTAATTGTTTACTTTGGTTTTGTCTGTTCTCATACAATGTCAGCTCCTTGAGGGCAAGAACTTTGTTCCAGAGAAGTGACTATCCCTACACATTTGATGCGAAAGAGAGAGAGAGAGAGAGAAGAGAGAAAGAAGGAAGAAAGAAAGAAAGAAAGAAAGAAAGAAAGAAAGAAAGAAAGAAAGAAAGAAAGAAAGAAAAAGAGAGAGAAGGAAGGAAGGAAGGAAGGAAGGATCTGTTGACTATGACTATAAAGGAATAGCTCAGGCCAGTACCAAATATCAAGAATGTTAGACTCACTAATGATCAAGGCTTATAAAAATGTTTAGAACAACATAAAAGAAGTAACAAGGAGAGTTAAACTATATTCTGAGCAAGAAGATGAAAATGTGATAGACCACTGATTAAAACAATACAGGGTTAGATACAAAAAAAATAATAGTTCTCCCCCTTACTACTTTGCTTTTCTCTACTTTAAAGCATGACAGTCTGTGAAAAAAGGCTGAACTAGTGCTGCCGTAAGGACACTGAAGTGAGAAGGATATAAAAGACCTCTTAGTTGCTTTACGTGAGATACAGCCTAGGTGACCCTATCACCGCTTCTAGGAGGACTTTCATCTGCTGTAGACACCTACAACACGCTATGCTGTCTTGGTGTAAAATCACAATTTATTGTAATTAATTACCACTCAGAAGGTAAAACCTTTGAGCATAAGCATTATATTCTATTCATTGTTGATGTCTCAGTGCCTATCCTAGCACAAAGTCCTCAGTAAATACATGTTTTATTAATTACTTAACTACAAATCAGGGTACTGAGAAAACTTGTAAATTAAATTATTGATCCATGCTAACTTTTTTTTTTTTTTTTTTTTGAGACACAGTCTCACTCTGTCGCCCAGGCTGGAGTGCAGTGGCACGATCTCGGCTCACTGCAAGTTCCACCTCCCAGGTTCACTCCATTCTCCTGCCTCAGCCTCCAGAGCAGCTGGGACTACAGGAGCCTGCCACCACGCCCGGCTAATTTTTTTGTATTTTTTAGTAGAGACGGAGTTTCACCGTGTTAGCCAGGATGGTCTCAATCTCCTGACCTTGTGATCCACCCGCCTCGGCCTCCCAAAGTGCTGGGATTACAGGCGTGAGCCACCGCACCCAGCTATGCTAACAAAACTTTAAAACTCACATAGAATTAGACAAGTAACAAAAGATAGAGAGTAGACAATTATCCGATTTTACAAAAGTAGAACAAATATTTAGCAAATCATTCACTGATATTTTATTGTTGATCTCAGGCCAAATTCTATACTGAATAATTAAACAGAGACTTTGTAAGTCCTTCAGAAAATAAGCTGTGATCAATAGGTACTGTCACAGGTTCACTCAGGAATATTTTTGCCCCATCAGCCAGATTTTCTTCTTGACTAGGGTTAGTAGATATTTTACAGAACCATCAGAAACTTTTGATTTCTGCAAAAGCATTGAACAACAGCTCACATAATATCTATGTTTACAGTGTCTTGTACATAACAGATGCTTGATAAAAGTAGATTGGGCAAGTGCTTATAAAGATTATTAGTGGAATCATTTCCACTCAACATTTTTCATGATGTTTTTTCTTTCTTTTATTGATCCATGCTTTTCCTCTACTCTGGGGTATTTACTTTTTCTCACCTTCCAGATCTGCCAATCTTTTCTTGAAAAAGTTATCCCAGGTGTCTCATATAACTCTATTTAATTACAGGATTTAAGAATTTATTTATATAAACGACTGGAAAACATGGAAGCTTGATTTCACCTATCAATTTTGCTTTGGGAAGACAGACGGGTCAAGGGAAAGTGATGAAACAGGTGCTAGAGGTCACTGATGGATCTGAATTTTCTTGTATTTTCTCTGACGTTCCTTCAGGCTCAAACTTTACTTGCTTTCCCATTGCCCTTTTGCTATCCTGGTATATGCATAAAAAGAATATCAATGTGATAGATGTGTTACTCTAAGATGTTGAGGGTTGAATGCTCTATCACTATGACATCATTCTATTAAAGGAGAAGGTAGTGGATAATTTTTTATTTATATGTGGTAACTGCCATATAAAGGCATTAGACACCAAGGTGCAGTCACACAAACTTGAATTTACTTCCTCCAACTCTCTGATACATATGGATGCTCTGAGTACAGGTATGCATGCACACACATACACACATACAGCTTTCACACTTACAAAATGATGCAGAAAACCCTGCATGAATTTTCTTTCCCTTGGATATGCATGCTCATGTAGAAAAGCACTTGACTGGGAGTTAAGAGGCCTGAATTCTTATCTTGTCTCTACCATTAGCAAATTATATAATTGTGAGTGAGTCATTTTCCTCCCTGAACTTTAGTTTTCTCATAAAATAAATGAGGTTTGGTAGAGGAAATTAAGTGTTTACAAAGTTGTTGGAAGGGCTGAAGGAAAAGACTCCTGGCCAGTGTCTCGCAATGTCTCTAAAACAACACAGAACTGGCCCCCTAAGGAAAGTTCTACCCCTGAGGCCACCATGGCTGGCCTAGGTCTGGAGCTATCCATTCACCGAGAAGCAGCCTATGAACACTGCCAAGCTGGCAAATGGACACCCGAATCAGCAATCCAGAGATTAGCATCAGGTTAAGAAATGGCCACTACACCCACTAATTATTGGCATCTAGAAGACTGAAAAATGAACACTAAAATCTGCTGTTCACTAAAATCACATCCTTGCTGGCTAGCACTGACAATCAGGACAACAGGCAAGAGGCTTCTTCCTCTATTTTTCCTTTAAATCCCATGCAAGTGCATCTCATCAGTAAAATTTGTGTCACATTCAGATCCTTCGTTGCATGGAAATCTTGATAATATAGTTTTTAGCACTTTCTAGCCTCTGTGATACAGATGAGAATATAGAACAGATTAAGACTGGATGCTAAATGCTGAAAAATAATGTTTAGAAGTAATATGTTCTGAAAATAGAAAAAGCTGCTTCAGGATCTAGAGAGTTCCCATCAATGGAGATGGACAAAGCAGAAACCAGATAATCTATTTTCAGAAATGTTGTAAATGAGACTGATTTTGAATAGTAATTTGCAGTTCTTGTTGCATATTTCAGTCCTCTGATGCTATTCCCAAAGATTCTTTTTCAGTGGGCCTGTGGTAGGTCCCAGGAATCTGTAATGTTACAATTCCCCCAAGTGATTGTGAGATATAGCTGTACTTAAAGAACCACTTGACTATAATGTCAAACATCATCTCCAGCCCTGTTTATTTATGACTCCTCAATTCTAGATCTTTAGGACCATGCAACTGTATGTGCCACACACATTCCTAGTACAAGGAGCCAAATGTTGTCTTCAGTCGAACACAGATTTTTTAAGAAACTCTAGGGTATAAACTGGTCTATTATTCTGTTTATTATATTATTTTTAAAAGGAATCTGTTTACCAACTATTCTGCAGTAACAAAAAATAGCTCCAAGGAGATTCTAACTGAAGGCATGCTTTCACATGAAGAATTTATGACTACAGTGTCCTGAGGTAATTTATTTTTTCCTGTGGAGGATTTCCAGGCCGATACAATAAGACAAGAATGCTGAACACCTGCTATATAAAAGACATTTTAAGGTTTTGTTTATGAACTTAGTTCATGTTGAAGATGTCTGCAGATTTATCTCCTGCACGAGTATCAAATCCAATGCTCTTGTATGCTTGCCCTTGAAGGGTTGGTAAATGTTTGGCCGAATAGAACATCATTTATAAACAGGTTTTATTACTGGACTTACAGTTGGTCAGTTACCCCAAATGATTATTCTATACAATTTACATCTAAAGTCCAGATTTGTTACACTAGGAGGAATGTCAGGATTTATGTTGGGATTGCAGGTCTTGGTACAGAAGACGTAGCTTGAAGGTCCCTGTTATGTAACAGAGAGATTTCCATTTTAGCAGGAAAACATGCAGTTGATCTGCTATTAGGAACTGAGGATCTTAAGGGAACCCACAAATAGAAAATCTGGCTTTGGTCAATAGCATGCTTATACTTTGGGAGGGGTATTGAGAGAGATAGGCCTATAACTGCCTTTTTGCAACTATATTTACTTTAATTTTCTTCATCATATATCCACCCAAGGCCAGTTTTATATTCTGAGGGTAAAATACATTTCAGATTTTTTAAAAAGCCATGGTTCATTAGTGCTTGGTGCTTGACAGTATAAGGTTGTATACTCTATACACATAAAATAAAATTATAAGAATTAACTATACAAATGTATGGCAGAAACCACATCTAACTCTGCATCCGGCTACTGACAGTTTTCTTTTTTGTTCCAGTTTCTTTAGGCTACAGTCATATCCTAATGATGACTGTCTTATTGCCCTATTTTTTTTTAGAATTTTTCAAAATATATGAACCAAATGTAATACTATGTCATATCAAATTTTAGATCAAAATTATTAGGATGCCAAGTAAATAAAAGAGGAGGAAAAGAGTTTATCCAATATGGTGAGCAGAGTAATAGCCCTGAAATATGCCCATACCCTAATTCCAGGAACATGTGAATGAGTATATCTCACATGGCAAATGAAATGTGAAGATGTGATTAAGGGTATGGATGTGCAATGGGGAATTACCCTAAATTATACAGTGGTCCCAATCTCTTCACATGAGTCCTTAAAATCCATAACCTTTCCCAGCTGCCTTGGTTAGAAATATACTATATTGGAAGTGCTCAATCTGCCATTGCTAGCTTTGAAGATAAAGGAAAGGAGCCACAATCCAAGAAACGCAGGCCTTTCCCTAGAAAATGTAAAAGGCAAGGAAATGGATTATTCTTTAGAAACTCCAAAAAGGACGTCCTGCCAACATCTTGATTTTAGCTGACAGAGGCGTGTGTTGGATTTCTGCCCTACAGAACTGCATAGTAATGCATTTGTATTGTTAAGCCACTAAGTTTGTAGTAACTTGTTTCAACAGCCATAAAAAACTAATAGATTCAAAACCTTTTATCTCCATGATTGTTCCTGGTCTCATCAGAGCAGCAGAGGCTAATAACTTCCCAATAATAGTCAATAAAGTAATTTCACATTTTAAAGGAAGTTTAGCTATAGAGGAAGGACATAGAGTTTGAAGTTGAAGACAAGACTCAATGAACAAGTAGCAATGTGACCTTGAGAAAAACCTCAAGTTTTCTGAGGCTTAATTTCATCTAAGCCTTGCTTACCTTGCAGAATAGTTGAACATGTCATATTTATAAGGGGATATAAAATCCTTTGTATATTATAGGTTAAGTATCCCTAATCCAAACATACAAAATCTAAAATGTTCCAAAATCCAGAACATGTTCAGCGCTGACATGATGTCACAAGCAGAAGATTCCACACCTGACCTCATGTGATGAATTGCCATCAGAATGTAGCCAAAACTTTGTTTCATGCACAAAGTTACTTAAAACACTGTATAAAATTCTCTTCAGGCTATGTGTATAAGGTGTATATGAAATATGAATGAACTTTGTGGTTAGGCTTGGGTTCCATTCCCAAGATATCTCATTACATATATGTAACTATTCCAAAATCTAGAAGAATCTGAAATCTAAAATGCTTCTGGTTCCAATCATTTCAGACAAGGGATACTCAACCTCTATTCTCTATAAACAATCATATTGCCCATTAATTTTTTCTCCAACAAAATATGTATTTAAGTTAAAGACTGGCCAAATTTTTAATTTAGGATCTTCAAGGTGGAAAATATCCCTCCAGTGATTAGGAAAGACACAAGAAGACAATAAAGATTTTATCACTCACACATCTTGGGTGGGGAGTGTGGTACACAGCACACCTGAAGACTACACATACACAGGTTAAGCAGAACAGGCAGGGAGAAATAGGAACTGTGGGCCAAAGCCTTTGTTGAGGCTAGGCCATTATCCAAACAGGGGAGTTTTAATTGGTGGGTTTAAAGCAAGTAGGCATGAGTTCCAAGAGGTCACGCTGGGACAGAGAGGTAGTCACTATGGCATAACTGCACAGCTTTAGGGATGTGGAAGTCAGAAGGTTACTCAAGTAGGTTTATCTAGCTGTCCCAGAAAGAAGTAGTCATCAGAAAGTGATAAGGCAGATATCTGGATTGGCCACATAGAGGAAATGGGAAGAGGTGTAGAACTGAAAACTGTGTGTCAATGGTGACTGAACCCTGCTTTTGGTATGGAGAAGTTCAACTTATATTTAAAATGGATGCCAGGACAACATAAAATTATAAAAACGTATTACACAAACTGATGGCAGACATTATTCATTGTCTCCCAAATGTTCTTTCTTCTTTTCTGCTCTTATAGAAAAATCACCCAAGTTTTATCTTAAAACATGGCAATCCAGCCACAGACTCCATCTTCCAGGGTCATTTGCAGCCAGGGATTATTAAGTTCTAACCAATGGGACATGAGTGGCAACTGAAGTGTGCAAATCCCAGATGATGGCTTCAAGAAGATGTTACTTTCTACTTCTTCTTGTCCTGTTCCCACAGGCTAGAGTGGCTGTAGTGGCAGAGTCAGCCCTCTCTAAGGGAGATCACTGGGCTGGGGCAGGGCTAGCAATGACACCTATTCATTTACTTATTGTCTATAGCAAAATCAGCATTGAGTTATTGGGACAAAAATCATATGACCTGCCAAGACTAAGATATTTACTCTTAGCCCTTTACAAATAAAGTTTATTTGTACCTCCCTTAGGCAACTGGAGATCAAGAAAAGAAATAAAATCTGGGTCTCTGGACAACCTCCTGGAGCAGAGATATTCTTCCCTGCTAACTACCTACCAGCTTGGACTTTCAAGTGAGCTAGAGATAAACTTTATACATTGTTTATTCATCTATTACATTGGGCATTATAAAATAGAAACATTAATAGAAACAATGATGATGATAACAGCTAGCGCTTTTATGGTGCTTATTATGTTATAGGGCTCTCCTATGGGTATGTAAGATTTGTACACACACAAATTTAATTCCCTGATAACTCTATGAGGTAAGTACTATTTTTTATTCCCACTTGGCAGATGACAAAACTGAGGCCAAGCAATTAAGTAACTTTTCCAAAGGCATACCAAATAGGAGATAGAGCCAGGGTTTGGACCCTAGCCATTTGGCACCTACATCTCTGCCCTTAACCATATATTATATTGCCTCTTAGTAGACTACATGTTTTATTTTGACTCTGAACAAATTAGTCAACACTCCTCAAATTCATTTTACCAGGAGACCTATTAGAAACAATAGCTTAACCCCAAAATATTGACAGATGGTGGGTTCGAGTTAGAAAAATAAATAGCAATTTATTTTAATATCCTTTTTAGTTTATATCTCATCTTCAGACTTTTTATCTTCAGACTCCAATTGCCTAAATTCAATATTTTAATTAAGCATAGCAATAGTCCTAGTTAAATTAGGGCAATAGAGAACCTATTTGGAAATGAAAACAAAGGGAAAATAAGATAAATGTTCAAAGAAATGAAATGAAGCCCGAGATTTCATGAGAAAAGGCAGGGTGTGGGAAGGGGAGCTAATGAATGTATAACCTAAAATCAAGTACTTAATATGCTATAGAAACTAGGCAGAATGCTTCACCTCCATAGCTACCTGCAAGACATTCTTAAAGTTAGAATCCAAAGTTCAGGAAAATTGAGCTAGTTGCTCAGGGTCACAGAACTAGTCAATGAAACTCAAGTCTTTGTTACCTCAAGACAAGCTCCTTTACACTAGAATACCTCAAAGAGAACAAACAAAAACCAATTACACCCCTGCCCCCCGCCAAAAATAAGAACCTTAGTGATTTCAGGCAAGAAAAGGTTTAAGAATGAGGTGAATTACTTACAGCTTCTGTAGATGATCTGGCAGGTATTGCAGAAGGCTGTGATGCACAGGACTGCCTAAGGCTAATCAAGTGTCTATGAGAGAGAGAAAAAAAAAATTCATAAATGGTGATGCAAGCAAAATCGGTTAAAGTTCATAGCCCCATAATAGGTACCAACCAGATCACGAAAAAGAGAAGTTATATCTGTGAAGAAATTGTTAAGCATTCAAGAAATTCTCTCCCCAGTTGGCATAACTATTTTCACTCCCGAGGAGAAGATTAGTTTCTAATAAGCTCTTCATTATTGATTCCTCTGAGCCTTGAAGTTGCCCTAAAGACGGAGAATACTGATAGGTTGAGCCCTATTACAGTTGGGAGGTTAAATGCAAGCACTGTGGTTTTCTCAGTCAACTCATTAAAAAGAAATGACCTGTAGAATTAATTCACAGTAAAATGTTATCCCCTAGTTCCATATTTTCCAGAATTAGTCAGTAAGGAGAGATAAACATTATTATCCCTCAAAAATGAATTGGTATCATGGACTCAAAGTTGGAAAGGCCTTTTGGAAATCATTTATTCATTTTATAGATGAGAAACCAAATTATTCAAAGACATGGGTGGCATTATGCTTTCCTTGTTCTTAAAGTATGACATGAGTCTCTGTTGCCAAGCATATTTCAAAGCTTATCACATGATTATATACCCTCTGGAGTTGATCTTGTTTGAGCCATGGATCATTATTCAGAAATATTCAGAAGGAAAGACACGTGTATAATACACACAAAAGTCATCTTCTCCAGAAGTGAACAGAATGGATATTCTTGGTATCTGCTTGGTGTGGTTAAATAACAGAAAGTGGTATAGAGCAATATGGGGCAATAAGTGGCAAGATATAACTGTATAATAAAGTATAACCTCATTATGTGTGGCTTTGTAGACAATAAACTAGAGGTTGGCTTTTTAATGCAGTTCAGGTCACCAGAGGAGTTTGGCAGGGGTATGACATGGCTGATTTTAATCATTTATCCTTTCATTCATTTTATATCGTATATTAGTCTGTTTTCATGCTGCCGATAAAGACATACCTGAGACTGGGCAATTTACAAAAGAAAGAGGCTTATTGGGCTCACAACTCCATATGGCTGGGGAGGCCTCACAATCATGGTAGAAGGCAAGGAGGAACAAGTCACGTCTTACATGGATGGCAGCAGGCAAAGAGAGAGAGAGAGCTTGTACAGGAAAACTCTTCTTTTTAAAACCATCAGATCTCATGAGATTCATTTGCTCTCACGAGAACAGTGCAGGAAAGACCCACCCCCATAATTAAATCACCTCCCACCGGGTTCCTCCCATGACACATGGGAATTGTGGGAGTTACAATTCAAGATGAGATTTGGGTGGGGACACAGCCAAAGCATGTCATCAAGTATAGTTCTAGGCCCTAAGAAAACAATAGACTACCTTTCCAGCCCACAAGAACAACATAGTCTATTTGAGGAGACAGAACTATAAAATGTAATTGCAATACAAAGTAACAAGAGAAGAGTAAGAAAGTAACAATAAGGCCTGGATAGGCAGAAGAAAGTCTTCAGGGAAGGAATAGTTAAATATGTTATTCTGCAGGCAAAGAAGACTACAGTTTCAAAATGATTTCACATATGAACTCACATTTTATTGTCATATGTAAAATGGGATATATAGGTCAACCCACACCACTTAGGAAACTGGTACTCAGGGAAGCTGAGTGACTGTGTGAGACCACACCTCAACAATGGTACAATGTTTTAATCCTGAGCACAGACTGATTTATAGCAGCTGCTTCCAGTTGTACTGAGAATAATTGTAAACATCACCAAAATTAAGTAGTAAATAATTTTGTGATTTATTAAGATATCTAGTATGATCTGAAACAGAATGATGGCTTTTTTTTTATATCAAAGTTATCCTGCAGGAGGCTGGGTGTGGTGGCTCACACCTGTAATCCTTGCAGTTTGGGAAGCTGAAGCAGGCAGATCATTTGAGCCCAGGAGGTGGAGACCAGCCTGGACAACATGGCGAAATGCCATCTCTACAAAAAATAAAAAAATTAGTCAGGCGTGGTGGTTCATGCCTATAGTACCAGCTACATGGGAGGATGAGGTGGGAGGATCACCTGAGCCTGGGAGACAGACGTTGCAGTGAGCAAAATTTGCACCACTGCACTCCAGCCTGGGCAATAGAGTGAGACTTGTCTTCAAAAAAAAAAATTATCTTGGGGGAGAAAATTCATGAACAACTGTGATGGTTAATACTGAGTGTCAACATGATTGGATTGAAGAATACTAAGTATTCTTCTATGAAGGTGTTGCCAAAGGAGATTAACATCTGAGTCAGTGGGCTGGGGAGAGGGCTGACCCACCCTTAATCTGGGTGGGCCCCACCTAATCAGCTGCCAGTGAATATGAAGCAGGCAGAAAAACATGAAAAGGTTAGACTGGCTTAGTCTCCCAGCCTACATTTTTCTCCCATGCTGGATGCTTCCTGCCTTCAAACACTGGAGTCCCAAGTTCTTCAGCTTTGGGACTCAGACAGGATTCTTTGCTCCTCAGCTTGCAGACAGCCTATTGTGGGACCTTGTGACCATATGAGGTAACACTACTTAATAAATTCCCCTTTATATATATATATTTATCTATCTATCCTATTAGCTCTGTCCCTCCAGAGAATCCTGACTAATACAGATTTTGGTACCAGAAGTGGTTCTAGAGAAACAGAATATTAAGGATGGAATTTTTTAGTTGGTTTTGGGGTTTCTGGAGCTGGTTGCTTAGTACAATTAGACCCAAAAATGCTAAGCACTCTATTTATAATAGTATGGAGAACACTGATAGTCCTTAGTATGAACTGTTTAGAGAGTTAGACAAAATAAATGCATTTGACACTCCTGATCCACCACTTGTGAGAGGCAAGGAGTTTCAAGACTCTATACATAATACCTTTGGCCATCTGTGGAGAACAAGGAACATAATGAAACTGGTTGGTTGCTCCTAAGTTCACTGGGCAAAGTGATGAAAGAAAACAATAAACTCAGGGATTCTGTCTCCCAGCTTCAGAAGCAGATACTGAGCTTCAAATCGTCTAAGATTGCCCTGAGTCAAAGTCTTATCTACTGGAGAGAAAGAGCTGAAATTGTGGAGAAGCAGACACAAGCTCTTATCATGTGAGTGGCTGACTTGCAACAAAAAGTGCATGCACAGCCTTGCCAGGTGTCTATCATTAAAGTGAAGGCATTGCTTGGATTAGAATGGGACCTTGGAACTTGGAATGGGGTTGTGTGAAAGGACCCTGATAAAGCTGGAGATACTGGGCGTGTAAAGTCTGAATGAAACTTTCTTGCCAGAAGAAAGAGCTTCCCCATCCCCAGAAGTGGCAGCATACCCTCTCGGACCCATGCTGCTATCAGCCCTTCCACTTTTGCCTGAGGAGGTAAACCCTGTGCTGCCTGAGGCAACAGTGATGGCCTCCACTGAGGCAGTTGCCAGGCAAGATAATGTTGATTCTCCTCAGGAGCCACCCCCTGTTTGCTTCTAGACCTATAACTAGACTAAAGTCCCAAGGAACCCCTAGAGGTGAGGTTGAGAGTGTGACCCACAAGGAGATGTGCCACACTGAAAAAGAACTGCTTGAGTTTTCTAATTTATATGAACAGAAATCTGGAGAACAGGCATGGGAATGGATATTAAGGGTGTGGGATAATGGTGGAAGGAACATAGAGTTGGACCAAGCTGAATTTATTGATTTGAACCTACTAAGCAGGGATTCTGCATTTAAAGTTGCAGCCCAGGGAGTTAAAAAACATTCTAATAATTTATTTGCTTGGTTAGCTGAAATATAGATTAAAACACGACCCATTGTGAGTGCCTGGAAATGCCTGATTTCCTTTGGCTTAATATAGAGGAAGGAATTCAAAGCCTTAGAGAGATTGGGATGATGGAGTGTATTAGTCACTTTATACCTACTCATCCCAGCTGCGAGAGCCCAGAAGATATACCCTTGATGAATGCTTTACAAAGTAGATTTATGAGGACAGCACCTGCATTTTTGAGGAGCTTTATAATTGCTCTTCTCTGTATGTCAGATCTAACAGTGGGAACCACGGTCACTCAACTACAAAATTTAAATACAATGGGAATAATTTGATCTCAAGGTGGCAGGGGCCAAGTGACAGAACCCAACCGTCAAAGGCAAGGTGGGCATAGCTACCATAATGGACAGCAGAGGCAAAGCAGCAATCAGAATAGTCTGACACGTGAAGAGCTCTGGAATTGGCTAATTAATCACAGTGTTCCTAGAAGTGAAATTTATTGGAAGCCTACTGCATTTCTACTTAATTTATATAAGGAGGAAATGTCCAGGTCAAATGGACAAAAGAAGAATTTAAATTATAAAAACAGAGAATCACGGCCCCTCAATCAATTTCCAGACAAGCCAGTTTACAGACCCAGAACCCCTTGAATGAAAGGGAGGCTGGGTCCTCTTGAGGAAGGACCCCACTACACTACTGACAATTTGTGCAGTGAATCTTTCTCCCATCCTTCCCCAAGTACACCTCTGGCCTTCCACCAGGGTAGCTGTGCATTGGAGAAAGGGAAATGATCAGACATTTCAGAGACTACTGGACACTGGCTCTGAGCTGACGTTGATTCCAGGAGACCCAAAACATCATTGTGGTCCTCCAGTTAAAGTAGGGGTTATGGAGGTCAGGTAATTTGTAGAGTTTTAGCTCAGGTCTGACTTACAGTGAGTTCAGTTTGCCCTTGGACTCATCCTGTGGTCATTTCCCCAGTGCCAGAATGCATAATTGGCATAAACATATTTAGCAGCTGACAGAACCCCCACATGGGCTCCCTGACTGGTAGGGTGAAGGGTATTATGATGGGAAAGGCCAAATGGAAGCCATTAGACCTTCCTCTACCTAGAAAAATTGTAAATCAAAAAGGCAATATTGCATTCCTGGAGGGATTGCAGAGATTAGTGCCACCATAAAGGACTTGAAAGATGCAGGAGTGGTGATGCCCACCACATCCCCATTCAACCCTCCTATTTGGCCTGTGCAGAGGACAGGTGGATCTTGGAGAATGACAGTGGATTATCATAAGCTTTACCAAGTGGTGACTCAAAGTGCAGCCACTGTACCAGCTGTAGTTTCACTGCTTGAGCAAATTAACACATCTCCTGGTACCTGGTATGCAGCTATTGACTTGGCAAATGCCTTTTTCTACATTCCTGTATAAAAGGCACACCAGAAGCAATTTGCCATCAGCAGTAAAGACTAGTAACATACCTTTACTTTCCTACCTCAGGAGTATATCAATTCACCACAAGATATCACACTGGTCCATTATATTGATGACATTATGCTGATTGGATCCAGTGAGCAAGAAGTAGCAAACACACTGGACTTACTGGTGAGAAATTTGCATGCCAGAGGATGGTAAATAAATCCGACTAAAATTCTGGGAACTTCTACCTCAGTAAAATTTCTAGGGCTAGAGTGGCATGGGGCATGTCAAGATATTCCTTCTAAAGTGAAGGATAAGTTGCTGTGTTTGGCCCCTCCTACAACCAAGAAAGAGGCACAATGCCTAGTGGGCCTATTTGGATTTGGGAGGCAACACATTCCTCATTTGGGTGTGTTACTCCAGCCTATTTATTGAGTGACCCAAAAGGCTGCCAGTTTTGAGTGGAGTCCAGAATAGAAGGCGGCTCTGCAACAGATCCAGGCTGCTGTGCAAGCTGCCCTGCCACTTGGACCATATGACCCAGCAGATCCAATAGTGTTTGAGGTGTTAGTTGCAGATAGGGATGCTGTTTGGAGCCTTTGGCAGGCCCCCATAGGTGAATCACACAGGAGGCCTCCAGGATTTTGGAGCAAGGCCCTTCCATCTTCTGCAGATAACTACTCTCATTTTGAGAGACAGCTCTTGGCCTGTTCCTGGGCTTTGGTGGAAACTGAACATTTGACCATGGGTTATCAAGTCACAATGCAACCTGAACTGCCTGTCATGAACTGGTGCTTTCAGACCCAAGTAGCCATAAAGTGGGTTGTGCACAGCAGCATTCCATCATCAAATGGAAGTAGTGTATACATGATCAGGCTCGAGCAGGTCTGGAAGGCACACGTAAGTTACATGAGGAAGTGGCTCAAATGCCCATGGTCTCCACTCCTGCCACCCTGCCTTCTCTCCCCCAGCCTGCACCAACAGTCTCATGGGGGAGTTCCCTATCATCAGTTGACAGAGCAAGAGAAGAGTAGGGCCTGGTTCACAGATGGTTCTGTATGATATGCAGGCACCACCTGAAAGTAGAGAGCTGCAGCACTACAGCCACTTTCTAGGACATCCCTGAAGGAGAGCAATGAAGGGAAATCTTCCCAATGGGAACAACTTCCAGCAGTGCACTTTGTTGTGCACTTTGCATGGAAGGAGAAATGGCCAGATGTGAGATTATACACTGATTCATGGGCTGTAGCCAATGGGTTGGCTGGATGATCAGGGACTTGAAAGAAGCATGACTGGAAAATTGGTGACAAATAAATTTGGGGACGAGGTATGTGGACGGAACTCTCTGAGTGGTCAAAAAATGTGAAAATCTTCATATCCAATGTGAGTGCTCACCAACGGGTAACCTCAGCAGAGGAGGATTTTAATAATCAAGTGGATAGAATGACCCATCCTGTGGACACCACTCTGCCTCTTTCCCCAGCCACCCCTGTCATCACCCAATGGGCCCATGAACAAAGTGGCCATTGTGGCGGGGATGGAGGTTATCCATGGGCTCAGCAACATGGACTTCCACTTACCAAAGCTGGTCTGGCTATGGCCACTGCTAAGTGCCCATTTGCCAGCAGCAGAGACCAACACTGAGCTCTTGATATGGCACCATTCTTCAGGGTGATCAATCAGCTACCTGGTGGCGGGTTAATTATATTGAACCTCTTCCATCACGAAAAGGGCAGAGGTTTGTCCTCACTGGAATAGACACTTACTCCGGATAGTGGTTTGCCTATCCTGCACGCAATGCTTCTGCAAAGACTACCATTTGTGGACTCACAGAATACCTTATGCACTGTGATGTTATTCCATACAGCATTGCCTCTGACCAAGGCACTCGCTTTATGGCTAAAGAAGTGCAGCAGTGGGCTCGTGCTCATGGAGTTCCTGGTCTTATCATGTTCCTGTCATCCTGAAGCAGCTGGATCAATAGAACAGTAGAATGGCCTTTTGAAGTCATAATTACAAAGCCAACTAGGTGACAATACTTTGCAGGGCTGGGGCAAAGTTCTCCAGAAGGCCACATATGCTCTGAATCAGCATCCAGTATATCTCCCATAGCCAGGATTCATGGATCCATGAATCAAGGGGTAGAAGTGGAAGTGGCACCAGTCACCATCACCTCTAGTGATCCGCTAGCAAAATTTTTGTTTCCTGTTTCCAGGACATTATGTTCTGCTGGCCTAGAAGTCTTAGTTCCAGAGGGTGGAATGCTGCCATCAGGAGACACAGCAATAATTCCATTAAAATGGAAGATTGGCACCTGGACACTCTGGGCTCCTCCTACCTTTAAGTCAACAGGCTAAGAAGGGACTTACAGTGTTGGCTGGGGTGATTGACCCAGATTATCAAGATGAAATCAGTCTACTACTCCACAACGGAGGTAAGGAAGAGTATGCATGGAATACAAGAGATCCATTAGGGCATCTCATGTCCTGTGATTAAGGTTAATGGGAAACTGCAACAGCCCAATCCAGGCAGGACTACAAATGGCCCAGACCCTTCAGGAATGAAGGTTTGTGTTACTCCACCAGGAAAAAAAAACCATGACCTGCTGAGGTGCTTGCTGAAGGCAAAGGGAACACAGAATGGGAAGTAGAAGAAGGTAGTCATCAATACCAGCTACGACCATGTGACCAGTTGCAGAAATGAGGACTGTAATTGTAATGAGTATTTTCTCCTTCTTTTGCTAAAAACATGTTTGTGCATGTATAACCTTGCACTAAAACAAAATCTTCATTTTATTTCCTTTCTCCTGTATCATGTGACATAAGATTTATTTAGTTCATATCAGCATTTAAGCATTGTTAACTTTATGTATTAGCATTTGGGTTGTGGATTGGTGTGTTTTTGGTTGCAGGAAGCATAGTTGTATTATGTTAGGTATAATTATGGCCTTATAATTGTCTTTATTTGAAGATTATGTATGATCTCAGGAGATGTGTATGGGTTCAAATTGACAAGGGGTAGACTTGTGATGGTTAATACTGAGTGTCAACTTGATTGGATTGAAGGATACTAGGTATTCTTCAGTGAGGGTGTTGCCAAAGAAGATTAACATTTGAATCAGTGAGCTGGGGAAGGCAGACTCACCCTTAATCTGAGTGGGCACAATCTAATCAGCTGCCAGCAAATATAAAGCAGGCAGAAAAACATGAAAAGGTTAGACTGGCTTAGGCTCCCAGCCTATATCTTTCTCTCATGCTGGATGCTTCCTGCCCTCAAACATTGGACTCCAAGTTCTTCAACTTTGGTACTCGGACTGGCTCCCTTGCTCCTCAGCTTGCAGATGGTCTATTATAGGACCCTGTGATCATGTGAGGTAATGCTACTTAATAAGCTCCCATATATATATCCTATTAATTCTGTCCCTCTAAAGAACCCTGACTAATACAACAATTAACTAAATGATAAAATTATTTTTCTCATAGAGTTGTAAGGATTAAACAAGAAAATAGTCTTCCTATATTATGCAACAATTCTGAGAATTATGGAGACCTGAAGAGTCCCAGCCACCCTCCTAAGACAACTCTAATGTATTGCTTCTTCTGTGGCTGGAGCTGGAAGTTGGGTATTCCTTGAAGGGAGTAAACAAGGTCCAGGATCCACACATAAAGAGACAGCTTAACTTTTTCACTTCTGTGATGCATGACAGCCTACGCCCTAGTGGAAGAGAGCCCTAAGTGTCTTAGAGAGAATTTGTCCTGCAAGATCTAAGGGTTCTGGAGAAGAAGTGCAGACCTAGCCAACATGAACATCCCTGGAGGAATCCTGATTTTTGTGGCCTTCAGAGGAACTGGAGAGATAAACAGATCGACCAAATCCTCTATACCCATAAAGCTGGCAGAATGTAAGATTTTACAGCCACTGAGAATGGAAGTAGAAAGCCTATTTTATGTCCTTGAGTGGAGACTAGCAGAATACCTACAAGTAGAGTCCAGTATGCAGCCAGCACAGAGTTGCAGAGATTCCTGTGCTTAGGAAGCATCATTTATATGTTTGACAGAACTGTGTTAACCTGAGCCTCAGTGAGTAACACAAAGGAAAATAACCCAGCCAGAGAGGAGTATAGAAATAATCCAGAACAAGAAACTCCTAGGAAAACATAACTGCTGGAATATGGAGGTGGGATCTTGTTAAAAAATAAAATTATTAATAAATGAAATTTAATCACAGCACAAATAACACTTTCTGAACCTACAAACCTTGATTTTTGTCATAAAAAGTTTGGTAGGTGAACTGAACAAATAGGTTCATGACACTTTCAGATAATAATGACAAATCTACATTTATCATCCCATTTATATAAAATCTTGTGTGTGTGTGTGACAGAGAGAGAGAGAGAGAGATGAACAGAAAGATACTCATCAAAATGTTGATGGTGCTCATCTCAGAATACCCTAAAAAGGGATTCATGCTTCCTTCAAATTTTTGTATACCATATAAATTATTCTACTAACACATATAATCAGAACTGTCTATGCAATCATTAATTCTATCTTCAATCAAAAAATACTCCAATGTTATTGAAATTACCAGTCTATTTGTACCCCACAGGATAGAAGACATGAAAGAATAAAAACCGTAAGAAAGCTTGGCTGCTAGTGACTTTATATAAGAGGAAACAACTATAAAATAAATCTTTTTAGCAGAACAATTGGATCTTATAACATGCATGGATGGGCAGCTGAGCATAGAGGCTGAGGTAGTGCATTGATGGAATTTCCATATCATCCTAGACCACTTGTATCAATTCTAAACCACAGAATACTGAACATGACCATGTTTCCACTGATTCACTCAAGTGTTGTTCACATATTTTTTAGCCTTCTCAAAAGAGAAACCACTGTGTTTTGGTTCCTAACTTTGCTAGATATAAAAAATATGAATCATTGTATAAATCATTAAAGGAATTAAACTTTCTTTCATTTTAGGAAAGGTTATTAAAATTTACAACTTCTGAATGTGTATCACTTATTAAATGATGGACCATAAATGAATGTATCCAATCAGAAATTGACAATGTCCTCATTAGGTACTGTTCACACAGCGATACTTGTTTATGTCATATCTCAGAACTGAGAAACTAAACTGTAGTGGTACTTAATGAAGCACTTTATAAGCAATAGAAATCAACTGAAAAAGTGGATTTCCAGTAATTACCATGACTAATACTAATGAAAAATGTCTCTAAATGGAGACACGACAAGGGCATAAAATTTGAATCAGATTATGCAAAAAGTCATACTCAGGAAACAAACGTGGAAAGATTGCGACTTGCGTCAGGTCAGTTGTTAGCAAAGAGCCCATTAGTCCTCAAGCTGTATCTGCCTTAAATCAATCCCCAGAAAATACTTGAAATAAAGAAGCACACAGCAAACTGAAACACCCACAACTGGAAAGAGAGATGTCATTCATAGTAATTATAAGCAGATATTTCTGCAAAGTACATTCGTGTAGAAATGCCCTTATTAACTTCTATGCAGTCAACACATATTTATAGATCTAACACAGTATTGAGACAAAGTGGATTACTATTCTTAGTAATTAATAAGACTAAGTGATTATTATTAATAAGAATATGGGACAGAGAGATTTATGTAGGTTATTTTTGCTATTACTTATTTTTGATCTAGCATGACTTTGTACTTTCTTTTTATAAAAGATCCCCACATGGCTGTGAGAAACACTTTTCTTGTTTTTTGGATGGAATTGACGTTGCTTCCCACATTGATGGTCATTAGCCTTGGGCTGGCCAATAAAAGCACTTCTTACAGCTGACCATAGTGATTACATAACTGAAACCCAGTCAGATCATCTCTATGGCTTGACACGTGGATAAAGAGAAAGCATCACTCTTGTTATGGAGTTAAAAGCTATAAATATCATCTCAATCTTGAGTTTCTGGTCACTATCATTCCTGCCACAGAGTTAAAAAAGGCCAAGAAAATGAAGTTGATACTGAGGAAAAGAGAGTCAATATATGAAAGAGGGAGTGGAAAAGAAAGGGTAGAGACGAGAGGAAGCGGAGGGGAGTGCTGGGCAACACTTGAAACCCAGATCCAGCAATGACTTTCCAGCTACATTAGCTAAAACAGCAAACAGCTTCTTTATGAAACTGATATAGTCTGAGGTTCATTTATTTTATTTCAAAATCAAATGATATAGTGTGAGGTGCAAATAGTAGCCCAGAATTACATAGCAGAGTTTGAACAACAGGGAAAAAATACCAACCACATCAGAAAAGAAGAATTCATTTGCCCACACAGAAATTATTTATAGGAGGCACTTGAAGTAAATCTCATTGTACTATATAAAATATATAAATACACTGTATTTTATTTATAGTAGTTAGATCTTATTGTTTATGTAGTTATATACTATATATTATATACATAATGTAACTGTATAGAATGCTGGATAAAGCTCTGTAGCTCTTCTCATAGATTAAATATTACTATAAGATTAGATTAAATCACCAATTCATTTAGCTAATAATGCAAAAACATGTCAAATATAGGTGGCAACACAGGGAGGGGACATATGCAGGATTTATAATTATGCGTGGCCTAAGCCCTCCTAAGGCATCCAGTTGCTATCTGCATTGTCATTACAACTAGGATTTTCCAAAAGATAAGAAATTCCATTTTTGCTATCCCAATTCCATCTTATACTCTGGGCTTACCTCACTTTTCTGAACGGACTAACACCAAATGTCTACGCCTTTTGGTTTCAGAGAATTATAGCAGGCTATCCTTCTTCTTAAAATCTAGCATCATCAAGCCATGCCCCCCTCTGAACACAGAAATTAGAGTCATTCTCCAAATGTCATTGATTAATGTCTCTCCTTTAGATTTCCAGTGTTCTAGAAAGCCCATTTTCCCCCAGTCCACACCATGACTCTGATTTAATGCCCTTTTCATACAGAGTTTGGTCCGAAGGTGAAGATCACAAATCAATTCCCACAAAAATTTAATTTAAAATGCAATTTCCATCATTCTAAGTCAATCTTTTGTTTTTGTGTTCTTAAAGTCTCAAATTAAGGAAAAAATTACTTCAGATATTCTTAATGATGGAGATCTCAAACACACATCTAAGATAATAGTTTCAATTAAATTTGTAGTTCCCAAAGAAGCCAGATTAATTTTAAAACATTCCATACAAAATATGGTCTTTAATGCAATTCTTTTCAGAGTGTGTCATATATCACCACTAAGTAGAGCTACATACTTATACATTGGTATGGAAGCAAAGAACAGAATATTAATTTAGGCATGTTGGAGAAACCGTAAGTTACCTCAATCGTCATCAGAATCATCATCTTTATCATCGTTGCAATGTTTATTGAATGTTTACAATCCTATTTTTTGGTGCTATTATTATGTTCACACTACAGATTTTAAAATAAATTGCATTCTAAGCAATTATATTAGAATCAGACTCTTTTCTGCTACCACTATTGAGAAATACTGGATAAGACACAACTAAAAACAGGAGAGATAAGATTGCCAGGCTGCTAGAAGCACTGGCTGACATGAAAACAACTATTTAACTTTAACAGCAGCACAAGAATGGGAGACAAAAACTTGGATCCCCAGAAGGTCAGGAGTTTAACTGAAACTTCTGCAGGTACCCAAGACCATAGAAGGAGAAATGGCAAAAAGTTGTGTCTATCCCAGGCCTCTGCTTAGTTTGAAAATAAAAAAGAGGAATCTCCCAAAAAATTTGTAATCACAGGCTAACTGTATCAGTTAATTACTATCATAATAATTGCCTCAAAATATGTGGCTTAAAACAACACTAATTGATTCTCAGAGTTCTGGAAGTCAGAAGTCCACAATGAGTCTTATGAGGCTGAAACCAAAGCTAAGATTAGGACTACATTCCTTCCAGAGTCTCCAGGAGATAATCCGTATCTTGCCTGTTTCAGCTTTCAGACACCACTCATGACCCCTTTCTCCATCTTCAGTCAGCTGTGAGGCATCTTCTCTTCTGTCCTCTCGGCTTTCTTATTTATTTATTTTTTTCTTTTGTGAGATGGAGTCTTGCTCTTGTCACCCAGGCTGGAGTGCAATGGCGTGATCTTGGCTCACTGCAACCTCTGCCTCCCAAGTTCAAGCAATTCTCCGGCCTCAGCCTTCCGAGTAGCTGGGATTACAGGCGCTGGCCACTATGCCCAGCTAATTTTTGTATTTTTAGTAGAGGCAGGGTTTCACCATGTTGGCCAGGCTGGTCTCGAACTCCTGACCTCAGGAGATCCACCCATCTCGGCCTCTCAAATTGCTGGGGTTACAGGCGTGAGCCACCATGCCCAGCCCCTCTTGGCTTTTTTATACAGCTTTATTGAGGTATAATTGATATAGAGAAAAGCACACATATTTAATATATACAATTTAATGAAGTTGGACATATATGTATAGCTGTGAAACCATCATCATAATCAAGGTAATAAATATATTCAGCACCTCCAAAAATTTCCTCATGCCTCTTTCTGGCTTTATTTATTGTTTGATTTTTGTGGTAACAACACTTAACATAAGACGTACTTCCCTAACAAAAATTTTAAATGAACAATACAGCATTGTTAGCTATAAGCAGTATGCCATACAGTAGATCTCTAGAACTTATTTATTGTGCATAGTTGAAGCTTTATATTCACTGAACAGCAATTTCTCATTTCCCTCTCCCCTAGCCCTTGAAAATTATTGTTCTACTCTCTGTTTCTATGAATTTGACCTATTTTGGATACCTTATATAAATGTAATTATGCAGTATTTGTTCTTACTGTGACTGGATTATTTAACACAGCATAATATCTTTCAGATTCATCCATGTTGTGGCATATGTCAGGATTTCCTTCTTTTTAAAGGCAGACTAATATTCCATTCTATGTATGTACTACAATTTTTTGCTGAGCTTGGTGAAACAGAAACTAGATCAACCTACAGATAAAAGAAGCTCTGAAAATCCAAGCAAAATAAATATGAAGAATCACCACACCTAGGTACATCCTAGTAAAACTGCTAAAAACCAAATACATACGATTGTAAAAGAAACCTGAATAAAAATGACACACTATGCTTATAGGAGTTGCAATAAGACTTACAGCAAAATATTCAACAGAAACAATAGGAGTTAGAAAATAATGAAGTGGCATCTTTAAATTTCTGAAAGAAAATAATTACTAATCAGAAATTCTATATTGAACAAAATATCCTTCAAATATTTACGTTCAGAAAACCAAATCTGAAGTAATTCATCTTTAGCAGAATCACTCTAAAACAAATACCAAAGAGAGTTGTTCAGGGAGACAGAAAATACCCCAGAGGGAAACATGAAAATATAGAAAACTGTAAAAATCAATTGAAATAATAAATTTGTTCATAAACAAATGAATATGGCCTCTACATAATGTCTTGTGTGGTTTAAAATAGAAGTAAAATATAAAATTAAAATGCATGAAAACAATAATTCAAAAAACCAAGGAGATAATTATGTTGTCTAATAAAGTATTAAAATATATGAAGCAAAATTTATAAAACCACAGAGAGTTACAGAAAAATGCAAATAAAGTTATAAATTTCAACACTATTCTCTCAATAGTTAATATGAAGGGTAGAGAGAAAGCCAGTAAGGACATAGAAGGTTTGAGCAACATCATCAAACAACTTGACTCAATTGACATTTATAGAACACTCCACCTTAAAACAGCAGAATACATATTCTTTTCAGGTATATACAGCACATGGCACATCTACCAAGATAGATCATTGGAAAGTCTGAACAAATTTTAGAAGATTCAAATCAAGTATTATTATATTATTATTATAACTCATGGGTCAAAAAATAAACCAAAAAGAGACTCAGGAAATATTTTGACCTGAATGAAAATGAAAATACAAAACATCAGTATCTGTGAGATGCAGCTAAAGTAGTGCATTGAGGAAAATTTATAACACTAAATACCCATGATTAGAAAAGAAGAATGGTCTCAAAGCATTAATCTCATATTCACCTAAATAAGTGAGAAAAAGGAGAGCAAGTTAAATCCAAAGAAATAAAAATTCAAGAATAATAAAAATCAGAGCAGAAATCAGTCAAATAGAAAACAGAAAAATAATAGAAAAAAGTCAGTGAAACCAAATGCTACTCCATTGCACAGATCAACAAAGTTGATAAACCTCTAGGCAAACTAATGAAAAGAGAAGACATAAAATAAAAATGTCAGCTTTGGGTGAGGTGTCATCACTATAAATAATAAGGGGCCATTAGGGAATGTTGTGAAATAAAGTCAATAAATTACAGTTTATATGAAATTGATACATTTTTTGAAGGACATAATCAAAAACTACAATTCTTTGTAATTAGGTTCTTTTTTTCTTCCTCTGGTAGCAGTTTCTGTATGAGAAATGTGGGCTGTTTTCTTAAAAGCCGTTGCTGATCTAGGAAGCGGGGAGATGGGACCAGGATAAGGTAAAACACCACAAGCTATCTGTTCTTAAGAAGATTCACCAGTTTCTCTTCATTGAGTGTTTCCCTGGTTGCTGCAAACTTTTAGTTAGTTTCCAGAGTTCCAACAAAAGTTGTTTCTAACATTTTTTGTCAGTTTTTTTCCCCAGTGTTTTTATGGAGGAATATACTTTTGAGTCATTACTTCACTATCTCCGTTGATGAAAATTTAATTTATAACAAATCTAGCACCACCACTGATCAAAAACAAGACAAGGATGCCCATCTTTACCTCCTTTTCTCAGTATCACACTAGAGATCTCCATCACCAAGATAAGACAAGAAAAATAAATAAAAATACAAGGATTGAATAACAAGAAAGAAAACTTTTATTTTTCACTAGGGCCTCCAAGAGAATATACAGTCATTTTATATTTATTATAAATTGAGTTCAGCAAAGATTTTGCATATATGACCAATTTACAAAATCACTTGCATTTCTGTCTACAGGAACAAATCACTAAGAAAAATAAATAATGTATTCTAGAATAATAGGAATTAAATTAGGTAACTTCATCACTATAATTCACAGAAATCAATTTGTGATTAAAGACATAATGTGTAAACTTAAAAATTGATAAAGACATGTAAAGGAGAACATTTTTATGTCCTTGAGTTAGAAAGGGACTTATAAATCAAGATTTTTTCAAAACTGCAAAGAGAAATATTGATAAATCTATGCAGCAGATTATATTTTCCAAAGATGGCCACAACAATATTCTTTATTCCACATACTCTTTTTGTAATGCAATCTCATCACTCCTCCCATTAAGAGATCAAGGCTATGTTCTCTCTTTTGGCAAATGGGTTGGCTTCTGTGACTTCTGACTAAAGAAACAGCAGAACGAACATTTTAAAATTTTAAGGCTGGGTGAAAGATAATACAGCTTCCACCTTACTTGTGAAATACTCACACTACAGCTTTTACTTGCCAGGTAATCAGCACACCTCAGCACTGTCATGCTGTGAGGAAACTCAAGCAAGCCACTGCAGAGACATAGTAGAGAAAAATTCTGAGACTAAGTAAAAAGAGAGAAATATCCAGCCAGCTTCCCACTGTTCCGGTCCCAGCTACCATCCCACTGCAACCACATAAAAGACCCTGTACCAGAAACACTCAGCAGAGCCCTTCCCTAATTCCTAACCCACAGAAACCATGGGAGATAAAGTAACTGTTACTGTTTTAAGCCACGGAGTTATAGGGTGCTCCTTACACAGCCCTAGAAACCAGAACAACTTGGTTCTGTGAAAATTGAAAAACTTCCATTTCTCAAAAATACCACAAAGAATAGAAACATATCCCACAGATTACATGATGATACTTGCAGCCAGACCATATGCAGTTCATGCAAACAACTTCTCCAATCAACAGAAAGGCAAATAAACAAATAGAAAATAGGCAAATGATATGAGCAGCTAATTCAGGTGACCAATACCACAGGAATGACAGATACCACATTAAAAGTTGCCTAATTTCACAGGAAACAGGAAAATATAAATGAACATATAAATAAAATACAGCATATAGGGAAATGTAAACGAAAATAAAAATGATACCATTTTACCTCATCATATCACAAAATTTTAAAGTGCAAGAATAACAAACATTGGCAGAATGTGGAGACTGGGGAACTTTCCTGTTCTGCTGGTGGGTGGGTAAATTGCTGTGATCAGTTTAGAGCATTAAAGTTGCAGACACATATTCTATGACTCAAAAATTTAACTCCTACATATAAATCCTAGAGAATTTCACCCACCTGTACTGCAGGAAATATGTATGACACTATTCATAGCAATATTTTTTTGCAACAACTAGAAAAAAAACCCCAATAATCTTAATGTTCAACACAAGATAATCAGTAATAAATCAGAGCATATGCATAAAAATAATTGATATATAACAAAGAAAATGAATAAACAATAACTGTGTATCAACACTGGTGAATCTCACAAATATGTTGAACAAAAGATATGAGCTATAGAATATACATAAAGCTCTTTATATAAAATTTAAAACCATCCAAAGCTGTACAATACATTGCTCTGTGATACATATACATATGTATAAAGTATAAATAAATATATGAAAGAAGCACCAAATTCAGGATAATGGTTACCTCTGGGTAGAAGAGAGGCAAGGTGATCAGGAACAAATACAGAAGAGAAATCTGGGTTGCCGATTATTTATTTTTTTAAACTGAGAAGTAGGTATGTGAATATTTGCCACATTTTTCTTTAGACTTTTGTATGTCTTAAAAATTAAATAAGTTTGAGAGCTTGAATGACATAAGCAACACTTGACACAGAGGAAGAAAGGTTAGCACTAAAAATGACACTCCAGGAACAGAAGCGCACATACCTAGGGGCTTATAGGCATTCACAGAGACGCAGACATAGAAGGCTACCAAGACACTCACAGGTGGAGGGGAGACTGAAAGTCAAGAGATGAAGTGAAGGAAATGGCTGCTTGCTTGGATTCTTACTATGGATTCCCTCCTAGGCGGACGTCTTCTGGCAACACTTGTAACAAAGCCAGTTCTCTGAGTCTTTGGAGAGTAAACTCATGCCAAATTTCAGCCCCTTCCTGGCTCCCATAATCACTAAGTGAAAGTCTCACCCAGAAGATTCCAGAAAAATGAACAACTTTTTCTGTGATTCCTATATAGATAATTCAAAAAAGCCACAAACCACAGAAATACTTTTTATATAATCTCTCACTTTTCTCTCATGAAAAACGGAAAAAAATGCCCTGATATCTGGAAAATGGCCTGACACTTGCAACTAGGCCTCAGTGATGTTTGAAGCTGGCCTGTAACTCACAGCTAAACCATTGTATTCTCCTGTTGTACATAATCTCACGGAATGCCAATATCAGATATGCTCACTCTGAGTCCATGATAAACTGAAGCAAAATTTCATAGCTTTGTCTAAGCACAGATAAGCACAAAGTTACCAGGCATCCCACAATATACTAAATATTACCCCTCCTGGCTAATACAAGCGACTGATGCTTCTTTACTAAATACAGCTTTATCCTTGTTTAAGTCTGACAGATAAGATTAAGATGTTCAATCATAGAATTGTTCTGCTTTTTTATAAGATTGAGATACCCAATGTTTCTACTTTTTGACAGCACCCAACATAGAGCAAACTTCTACTTCCTTAGCTTTTCCTACAATCACCCAACCAAAGCCCAAATCTCATATCAGTTTTTTTCTAACAGTCTCTTACTGAGAAACAACCCATGGTTTCTTATGATGTATGCTCTCCCTCTCTATGAATAAAGCATAAGTGAGTAAGAAACCCCACTTACTAAACGACAAGTATGTTCTTGGTGGTGTTTGGCTGGAGGATATTGACACTCGCTATGCCTATCTACAAAGGAAGCCAATTACAGCAGACCTGTTAGTGGAATTGCACTTCTCAAGTCCTTCAAATAGTTGTATGGCTACCACTTTGTGATATGGAAAAGTTTATATGAACCTGAAATATAGAATGCTGGCCCACATTATAACTGTAAGTAAAAATTTCCAATTTCACTAAATTTTCTTCTCTTTGATCATGACCGTAAATATATTACTATTTCATTTGCTTTTATTTTTCATCTGAGCAGAATACAAAAACAAGTTTTGGGTGAGATGGGGAGAATGATGTAACCTGTACAACAAACTCACTCAGCTGGGAAGTAGCATGCAAACTGGCATTCAGACCCAACACTGTCTAAACCATCCACACTTCATCACTATGACATTTTAAGGTAATTGTGATGCAGAAGAAGAGAGAAAGGACAGTCCAGATAGAAAACAGTATGTGTAAAACCACAGAGAAGAGACATTATCTTTAGGTTTACAGCATGGCAAGTGTTGGAGTACAGCCTAAAAGTAAGATTGGTGGAGGCAGATATTGAGAGTAACAGTATATGCAAGAATAGTATAGGAAGGTTTGGCTGGGTCACATGTGTTAGGTGATAATGAATTCAAACCATATTTTGTAACCAACAGAGATTTTAAGCTATGGGTAGAGGCAAGAGTATATGATAATCAAAACTATGTTTTCATTCTATTTTTTAAATTGACACATGATAATTGTAAATATTCACAGAGTACATAGTGATATTTTGGTACATATAATGTGTAATGGTCAAACCAGAGTAATTAGCATATTCATCACCTCAAACATTTATCATTTCTGTGTGTTAAGAACATTCAAAATACTCTTTTCTGCCTTTTGAAAGTATATAATAAATTATTAACTATAGTCATCCTATAGTGCTGTAGAAAACTAGAGCTCATTCCTCTTCTCCTATCTGGCTGTAATTTTGTATCCTTCAACCAATCTCTTTCTATACCCTCTCTCCACTACTTTCCCTGCCTCTTGCAACCACTATTCAATTCACTACTTCTATTTGATCAACTTTGTTTTTACTTCCACATACGAGTGAAAATATGTGGTGTTTGTCTGTTCTGTCTTGTTTAAATTAAAATAATGTTCTCCAGGCTCATCAATGTTGCCACAAATGACAGGGTTTCATTTTTATAGCTGAATAGTATTCCATTATGTATATATACCACTTTTTATTTATCCATTCATTTGCTGATGGACACTTTGATTGGTTTCATATTTTGGCTATTGTGAATGGTGCTGCTACAGACATAGGGGTGCAGATGTCTCAACAATATACTGATTTCCTTTCCTTTGGATATATATCCAGCAGTAGGACTGCTGTATCATATGGTTCTACTTGTAGTTTTTTGAGGAACTTCCATACTCTTTTCCATAATAACTATATTAATTTACATTCCAACCAACAGTGTATAGGAATTTCCTTGTCTCTGCATCCTTACCAGCATTTATTAATTTTTGTCTTTTTGAAAATAGCCATTTTGAGTAGAGATAATAATTCATTGTGGTTTTGATTTGCATTTCCCTGATAATTGTAATCTTGAGCATTTTGTCATATATTTCTTGGCCATTTCTATGTCTTCTTTTGAGATATGTCTACACAGATCGTTTGCCCATTTTTTAATCAGATTTTTTGTTTTATTTTGCTATTGACTTGAGTTCTCTGAATGTTCTGGATATTAATCCCTTTTCAGGTAATTTTCAAATAATTTCTCCCATTGCATAGATTGTCTTTTCACTCTTTTAATTGTTTCCTTTGCTGTGCAGAAGCTTTTTAGTTTGAAATAATTCCATTTGTCTATTTTTGCTTGTTTTCCCTTTACTATTGAAGTCTTAGCCATAAAATCCTTTCCCAGACCAGTGTTCTGAAGCTTTTTTCCTATGTTTTTTGTAGTAGTTTTATTATTTTGGATCTTACAGATAAGTGTTTAATCTATTTTCAGTTAATTTTTTTATAAGATGAGAGATAGGGGCCTAGTTTCAATCTTCTGAATATACAGTTTTTCCCAGCACCACTTACTGAAGAGACTGTCCTTTACCAAATAAATATTCTTGGAAACTTTGTCAAAAATCACTTGGTTATAAATATGTGCATTTATTTCTAAGCTCTCTATTCTGTTCCAATGGCATATGTGTCTATTTTTCTGCCAATACCACACTGTTCCAGTAACGATAGCTTTGCAGTATTTTGTGAAGTCAGGTAGTGTGATGCCTCCGGCTTTGTTTTTTGCTGAGGATTTCTGTGGCTATTTGGCTTTTTTGTGGTTCTATACACATTTTAGGATTGTTTTTTCTATTTCTGTGAGGAATATCATTGGTATTTTGACAAGGATTGCATTAACTCTGTAGATCTCTTCCACTAATATGGTCATTTAAAAAATATAACTTCTTTCAGTTCTTGAACAGGGGATATCTATCTGTTTGTCCTTTTTAATTTCTTTCATCAGTGTTTTACACTTTTTCTTGTAGAGATTTGTCATCTCCTTGGTTAAAGTTATCTGTACATATTTTATTTTTCATACCTATTGTAAATAAAATTGCTTTCCTGATTTTTTCCAGTTACTTCATTGTTGGTGTATAGAATTGCTGCTAATGTATGTGTTTTGATTTTGTATCCTACAACTTTATTGCATTTTTTAAATCAGTTTTAGGACTTTTTTGGTGGATTCTTTAGTTTTTTATGTATAAGATCATGTCATCTACACATACGGACAATTTAACCTTCTCCATTTCAATTTGGATGCACTTTATTTCTTTTCTTGCCTAACTGCTCTGGGCTAGATCTTTCAGTTCTACATCAAACAGAAGTGTTGAGAGCAGGCATCCTTGTTGTGTTTCAGATCATGAAGGAAAAGTTTCCAGCTTTGCCCCAGTCCATAAAATGTTAGCTGTGGGTTTTTTATATATGGCCTTCACTGTATTAAGGTATATTCCTGCTATACCTAATTTGACAAGAATTTTTAACACAAAGTGTAGTTGAATTTTATCAGATGCTTTTTCTGCATCTACGAGAGGATTATATGGGTTTTGTCCTTCATTCTGATGATGTGATGTATCATGTTTATTGATTTATGTATGTTAAACCATCCTTGCAACTCCAGGATAAATTACACTTGACTATAATGTATAATATTTTTGATGTGCTGTTGGATTCAATTTGCTAGAATTTTGTTGAGGATATTTTAATCTATGTTCATTGGATATTGGGCTGAAGTTTTCTTTTTTGTTGTGTATTATCTGGTTTTGGTATCAGGATTATGCAGGCCCTGTAAAATGAGTTTAGAATAAATCTTTTTCTCTCAATATTTTGGAATATTTTGAGAATTAGGTCTTCCTTAAAAGATTGACAGAATTCAACAGTAAAGCCATCTAGTCCTGGAATTTTCTTTGTTCAGAGACTTTTTATTACTGATTCAAGCTTGTTACTCATTACTGATTATGGTTTTCTATTTTTATTTGGCTCAATTATGGTAGGCTATGTATTCAGGGACGTATCCATTTTAGTTAGGCCTTCAAATTTGTTGGAAAATAGTTGTTCATAGTAGTCTCTAATGATCCTTTGTATTTCTGCGGTACCAATTATGATGTCTCTTTTTCCTTCTCATTTTATTTATTTGAGTCTTCTCTCTTTTTTCATTAATAGTCTAGCTAATGATTTGTCAATTTTGTTTATCTTTTCAAAAAACCAACTTTTTTGTTTCATTAATCTTTTATATTGTCTTTTAGACTAATTTTATTTCTGTTCTGATCTTTCTTATTTCTTTTCTTCTACTAATATTGAGTCTGATGTGTTCCTTTGTAGTTCCTTAAGCTAAATTGTTAGATTATTTGAAATCTTTTTACTTTTTTGATGTAGGCATTTATTGCCATAAACTTGTGTCTTGATACTGTTTTTGATGTATTCCGTAGGTTTTGATATGTTGTGCTTCTATTTTCATTTCCTTCAAGACTTTTAAATTTTCATTTTAAATTTTTCATTGACCCATTGATAATTCGGGAGCACGTTGTTTAATATCCATGTATGGTTTTAACTCTTCTTGTTGATTTCTGGTTTTATTCCATTGTGGTCAGAAAAGATACTTGATATAATTTCAATTTTTAAAAAATTCTGAAACTTATTTTGTATCCTACCATATGGTCAATCTTGGAGAATGTTCCATGTGATGATGAAAAGAATGTGCATTCTGCAGCTGTTGAGTGAGATGTTCCTTAAATGTCTGTTAGGTCCATTTGGTCTATGGGGCAGTTTTGAGCCAATTTTTTTTTATTTTATTTTCTGTCTAGATGAGCTGTCCAATGGTAAGAGTGGGGTGATGCCCTCACTTATTATTGTGTTGGAGGTTGTCTCTCCCTTTATATCTTACAACATTTGTCTTACATGCCTGAGTGTTCTGGCATTGGGTACATATATGAATCTAGTTCTAATATCCTCTTGCTGATTTGACCCATTTATTACTATATAATGTCGTTCTTTGTTTCTTTTTGGAGTTTTTTTTAAACTTAAAGTCTATTTTAGCTAAGTATAGCTACTCCTACCTGTTTGTGGTATCTATTTGCACGGAATAGCTTTGTCCTTCCCTTCACTTTCAGTCTATGAAAACTGTTTCTTTACAAATAAAGTGAGTTTCTTGTAAGCACCATATAGTTGGGTCTTGTTTGTGTTGCTGTTTTTTTGCTTTTTAATCCATTCCATCAGTCTGTGCTTTTTACAGAAAATTTAATTGATTTACATTAATATTTACTATTGGTAGGTGAGGACTTACTCCTGCCATTTTATTAATGTTTTAGCTGTTTTGTGTATTCTTTGTTCCTTTCTTCCTCTCTTGTTTATCACTGTGGTTTAGTGGTCTTCTGTAGTAATAACATTTTATTCATATTTCTTTCTCCTTTGTGTAACTGTTGTACCAATGAATTTTATATGTTTGTGTGTTTCATGTTAGTAGTTACCACCTTTTCTCTTTCAGATGTAGTACTTCCTTAACCATTTCTTTTAAGGTTCATCTAGTGACTGATGAACCCCTTATTTTTTGCTAATCTGAGAAAGACTTTATTTCTGCTTAATTTCTCAAGGACAGTTTTGTGAGTAAAAAGCTGGCATTCTTTTTTTCTTTCAGCATTTGAATGTGACGTCCTATTCTCTCAGGAACTGTTACATTTGTTCTGAGAAATCACTTTTAGTCTAGAGGGACTATCTTATATGTGAGTTGACACTTTTCTCTTTTTTTCAACTTTCATTTTAGATTCAAGTGGTGCATGTGCAGGTTTGTCACAAGGGTATATTGTAACTTGCTGAGGTTTAGGGTATGATTGAACCTGTAACACAGGTACTGAATACAGTACCCAAGAGGTAGTTTTTCAACCTTTTCCGCTTTCCTTCCCAGTCTTGTAGTCCCCAGTATCTATTGTTTCTTTCTTTGCGTCCCTGTTTGCCCAGTGTTTAGCTCCCACTTATAAGTGAGAACATACAAATATTCAGTTTTCTATTTCTGCATTAATTTGCTTAGGATAATGGCCTCCAGCTGCATCCATGTTGCTGCAAAGGAATTGATTTTATTCATTTTTATAGCTGTGTAGTATTCCATTGTATATATGTATCATATTTTTTTCCAATACACCTTAATGGGCATCCAGGTTGATTATATGTTTTTGCTATGTGAATAATGCTGTGACAAAAATATGAGTGCATGTCTTTTTGGTGGAACAATTTATTTTCCTTTGGATATGTACCCAGGAATGGGACTGCTGGGTCAAATGGTAGTTCTGTTTTTAGTTCTTTGAGAAATCTCCATACTGCTTTCCACAGTGGCTGAATTAATTTACATTCCCATCCACAGTATATAAACACTCCTTTCTCTTCACAGCTTCACCAGCATCTATAGTTTTTTTTTTACTTTCTAATAATAGCCATGCTGACTGGCATGCGATGGTATCTCATTGTTGTGTTGAATTGCATTTCTCTGATGATTGATGATGTGGAGTAATTTTTATATGTTTCTTGGCCACTTACATGTTTTCCTTTGAGAAGTGTCTGTTGATGTCTTTTGCCTATTTTAATGGGGGTTTTGTATTTTTCTTGTTGGATATTAGACTATTGTTAGATGCATAGTTTCTGAATACTTTCTCTCATCCACTAGGTTGCCTATATATTCTGTTGATAGTTTCTTTTGCTGTGCAGAAGCTCCTTAGTTTAATTACATCCCACATGCCAACTTTTGTTTCATCGCAATTACTTTTGAGGACTTAGTCATAAATTGTTTCCCAAGACTGGTGTCCAGAATGGTTTTTCTTACATTTTCTTTTAGAATTATTATAGTTTAGGTGTTATATTTAAATATTTATCCATGCTGAGTTAATTTTTGTATATAGTGAAAGGTAGGGGTCCTGTTTCATTCTTCTGCCTATGGCTAGCCAGCTATCCCACCACCATTTATTGAATAGGGAGTCCCTTCCTCATTGTTTATTTTTGTTGACTTTGTTGAGTATCACATGGCTGCAGGTGTGAAGCTTTATTTCTAAATTCTCTATTCTGTTTCATTGGTCTATGTGTCTGTTTTTGTACCAGTACCATGCTCTTTTTGTTACTGTAGCTTTGTAATAGTTTGAAGTTGGGTAATGTGATGACCCAGCTTTGTTCTTTTTGCTTAGGCTTGTTTCAGCCATTGGGCTCTTTTTTAGTTCCATATATATTTTTAGAATAGATTTTTTTCTAAATCTGTATAATGTTCGTAGTTTGATAGGAATAGCATTGAATCTGTAAATTGCTTTCAGCAGTATGGTGATTTAAATGATATTGATTCTTCCAGTACATGAATATGGAATATTTTTTCATTTGTTTGTGTCATTTATGATTTCTTTTAGCAGTTCTGTAGTTCTTCTTCTAGAGATCTTTCACCTCCTTAGTTAGAAGTATTCCTAGATATTTTATTTTTTCATGACTATCGTTAATGGGATTGCATTCTTGATTTTGCTCTCAGCTTGAATGTTATTTGTATATAGAACAGTTACTGGTTTTTGTATGTTGATTTGATATCATAAAATTTTACTCATCTTGTTTTTCAGTTCTTGGAGCGGCATTTTGGTAGAGTCTTTAGTGTTTTCTAGGTGTAGAATCATATCATCAGCTAAGAGAAATAATTTGACCTCCTCTTTTCCTATTAGGATGCCTTTAACTTTTTCTCTTGCCTGGTTGCTCTGGCTAGCACTTCCAGTACTATGATGAATAGGAATGGTGAGAGTGGTCATCCTTGTCTTCTTCCAGTTCTTAAAAGGAAAGATTCCAGGTTTTGCTTATTCAGTGTGACATTGACTGTGAGTTTGTGATAGGTGGTTTTTATTATTTGGAAGTATGTTCCTTCAATATCTAGTTTGTTGAAGGTTTTTATCATGAAGAGATACTGGATTTTACTAAATTTTTTTTCTGTGTCTGTTGAAATAATCGTTTCATTTTGTTTTTAATTCTGTTTATGTGATGAATCACATTTGTTGATATGCATATGTTGAATCAAACTTGCACTTCAGAAAGGAAGCCTACCTGATCATGGCGAATTAAATTTTTGATGTGCTGTTTTATTCAATTTGCTAGTATTTTGTTGAGAATTTTTGCATCTATGTTCATCAGGGATATTGTCCTGTAGTGTGTTTTTGGTTTCGTTTTTTTCATGTTTTCTTCTCCAGGTTTTGGTATTAGGGTGATACTGGCTTTGAAAAAATGAGTTAAGGAAGAGTCCTTTCTCTTTGATTGTTTGAAAGTCCCAGTAGAATTAGTACCAGCTCTTCTCTGTAAATCTGGTAGTCTTCAACTATGAATTCATCTGGTCCAGGTCTTCCCCCACCCCCACCCCTACCCCACCCCCCGTTGGTAGTTTTTTGGTTACCGGCTCAATTTCAGAACTTGATATTTGTGTGTTCAGGGTTTCAATTTCCTTCTGATTCAGTTTTGGGAAGTCTTATGTTTCCAGGAATTTATCCATTTCCTCTAGATTTTCTAGTTTGTGTACAAAAAGGTTTTCATAATATCTCTGAGGATGTTTCGTATTTCTATGGGATCAGTGGTAATGACACCTTTGTCATTTCTGATTGTGCTTATTTGGATCTTCTCTGGTTTTTTCCTTGTTAATCTAGCTAGAGTTCTGTCATATTTATCCTTTCAAATAAACAAGTTTTGGGATTTTTTAATTTTTTGTATGTATTTTTGGGTCTCAATTTCATTCAGTTACGCTTTGATTTCATTTATGTCTTTTCTTCTTGTACTTTGGGGGCTTGTTTGTTCTTGTATTCTTAGCTCCTCTTGGTGTGTGTTGTTAGATCATTGATTTGAGATTTTTCTAACTCTTTGAGGCTGGTGTTCAGGATGATAAACTTTCCTCTCAACATTGCTTTTGCTGCATCTCAGAGATTTTGGTATGTTGTGTCTCAGTTTTTATTTATTTCAAAGAACATTTTTATTTATGCTTTAATTTTACTGTTTACCCAAAAGTCATTCAAGAGCAAGTAGTTTAATTTCCATATAATTCTGTGTGTTTTAGATATCCTTTTGGTATTGATTTCTATTTTTTTATTCCATTGGGTCTGAATGCATAATTGGTACAATTTTACTTTTTTTAATTTTTTGAGCTTCATAGTTGAGCATGTGGTCAATCTTGGAGTATGTTCTGTGTGCAGATGATAAAAATGTATATTCTGTGGTCAATGGGTCAAGTATTCTGTAGGTATCTATTAGATCCAATTGGTTAAGCGTTGAATTTATGTCCAGAATTTCTTTGTTAGCTTTCTGCCTCCATGATTGGTCTAATGCTATCCATGGGGTGTTGAAGTCTCCCACTATTATTGTGTTGCTAAGTGTCTCATATGTCTAGAAGTACTTGTTTATGAATCTGGGTGTGCCAGTGTTGTGTGCATATACATTTAGGAATGTTAACTCTTCTTTCTGAATTGAACGCTTTATCGTTATGTAATGCCCTTCTTTGTCCTTTTTTAATGTTGTTAGTTTAAACTCTGTTTTATCTGATATAATAATAGTGACCCCTGCTGTTTTTTCATTTTCCATTTGTGTGGCATATCTTTTTCCAACCATTTACTTTGAGCATATGGGCATTATCACATGTGAGACGGGTTTCTTGAAGACAGCAGATGGATAACGCTTGTTATTTTATCCAACCTGACACTGTCTAATTTAAGTGGGGTGTTTAGACTATTTACATTCAAGGTTAATATTGATATGTGAGGTTTTCATCCTATTGTGAAGTTGTTAGGTGGTTGCCTATTCCGTGTTTCTCACAGAGTTGATCTTTATGGACCTCACAGATTCCCGTTTGCTCACAGAGTTCATCTTAATGCAGCATCTTGTTATTTCCCAGTGACTGAGGCACACTAAAAGCCTCTAATCTGCCATCTCATTTCCATTTTCTGTATGTCACTTTTCTTTTTCTGTTTATAAATCGTCCACCACATGGCTGTGCTTGAGCCTCTCTGAGCCTACTCTGGCTTGGGAGGCTGCCCAATTCATAAATCATTCTTTGCTCAATTAAGCTCTGTTAAATTTTATTTGTCCAAGGTTTGTTCTTTTAACACACGAAAGCTTTTCTTTCTCTGAGACCCCTGGTGGCAATTGGATAAAGAATGGCTACTACATACTGAGTGACATTTTTCTCTTGTGGGTTTTAGGATTCTCTGTCTTTGACTTTTGACAATTTGACTATAATGTGCTTTAGAGAGGACCCTTTTGCATGGAATCTATTTGAGAATCTCTATACTTTTTGGAACTGGTAACCATACTATTGCAAGACTTGGGAAGTTAGCAACTATTATTTAATTAAATAGGTTTTTTTACACTTTTTCCCATCTCCATGTTCTCTTCTTGAAATCTCATATGGTGCCCCATGAGTCTTGTAGGCTTTCTTCATTCTTTCTTTTCACTTGGATTATTGCAAAAGATCTGTCTTTAAGTTAATAAATGTTTTCTTCTGCTTGTTCTTGTCTGTTGTTGAACTCGATTGTATTTTTATTTCATTCACTGAATTCTTCAGCATCAAGATTTATGTGGGTTTTTTTACAATATTTATCTCTTTGTTTAATTTCTTTCAGATCATGAATTGTTTTCCTGATTTTGTTGTATTGCTTACCTGTATTCTTTGTATCTTACTGAGTTTGCTTAAGAAAATTATTTTGAATTTTTTTCTGTTATTTTGCATATTTCCTTCTCTCTGGGATCTGTTACTGAAGAATTATTATGTTCCTTTGAAGTTGTCATGTTTCCTTGGTTTTTCATGTTTCTTTTGCCCCTATATTGATATCTGTACAGCTGGTAGAACAGTCATCTATCTCAATTTTATGGAGTAGCTTTCACAGAGAAAGACTTATTCCCATAGATGAGTTCTATGATGTCATTTGGTTGGGTTATGTTGGCTTTGGCT
Organism: Homo sapiens; assembly: GCF_000001405.40. Classification (NCBI taxonomy): domain Eukaryota; kingdom Metazoa; phylum Chordata; class Mammalia; order Primates; family Hominidae; genus Homo; species Homo sapiens. The sequence goes on from NC_000010.11 coordinate 90,572,992, forward strand.
GTAGGTGGACACAGGCTTCCATGAAGTTTCTTCAGCTGTAATCCATGTTAGCAATGTCTGTGAGTGCCTTGGTGGCCTACACTATGGGAGTTTGGCAGTGGTGGTGTGGCTTTGCTAGGGGTGAGTTTGCCAAACTATCTCTCAGGCCTGGAGTTTACACATGCATGCAGTGGGTTGACCAGTTTGGGACCTGGCTTGGCAGAGTTAGGGCCACTGGGCTTTTTCATAGGCCAGGGGCATGGGAGCATGAGATGGGTTGGCCTTTGGGGAACTGTTTTGCCAGGATCAGGGCCTCTGGGCTGTTTCATCAACGAGGGGTACATGTCACAGTGGCTTGTTTGGTTCAAGGAAGGATCCACCTGAGGCAGGTCAACCAGGCTGGTTCTCTGGCTGCTTGGCTGGCTTGGGAGTAGGTCTTCTGGAGGTTGGCCTACTGAATTGTTTCTCCAGCTGAGGGCATGGACATACGGCTACTTGGCTGGCTCAGGGGCTTGTCCACTGGAAGCAGATCTTGAGGGCTGGTTCTCTGGCCAAAGGAAGAGGTCTTGCGGCTGCTCAGCTGGCTTAGGGGCATGTTCCCCAGACTGTTTCTCCTGACAGAGGGGTGGGTGTGGGGCTGCTCAGTGGGCTTTGGAGCATATCTGCTGAAGGAAAATCCACCAGATCCTAAGGAAAGCAGCTAGACCTGCAAGGCCACGTTTTTAAATAACTGTGAGCAGAGTCAAAAATGGATTAAATATAGGACAGACTCAATAGCCTACAGAAAGCCCATTTTATGAAATATGTCAGGAAGTTACTCTTGCATCTAAGAAATTATTCTATATTTGTCTCATCACATCCAGGTGAAACAGCTTTGTTATTATCTTAACACCCATGGGTTTTGAACAGCCATAGTAAGCTTTTCATAGCTCATAGGGAGTATTTGTGCAGCTCAGTTAAATTATGACTTCTAATTAGGATTTAATTAAAATAGAAAGCAGCTTGTTTAGAACATGGCTTCGTATGTCGAGTTACAAAGCTTCATCTGCATCTTTGTTAAAGATTTTTAAAATCCTCTGTATGCTGAATTAAGGAAGAATGATTCTGAATACATTCTGTAAAACCTATGGGCTCCATAAATAACCATTAGGAAATATTAGACAGAAATATGATAGAATCCCTGAATTTGTATTTATGCTTCCTTTCCTAAGCCCTATTTAAAGATGACACCCAAAAGACCAAAGTGATACATAATAGATTTAATCCACGATCCTCGACTTTGATCAAACAGTAGTGACTAAACTGAATGGGGTTTTGAGAAGACATGTCAGAGTTCAGCAGGAAAGAGTACATAGAAAAATTTTGATAAATTAAATACAGGGGAGGTGAATAATGGCATATGTATCACAGTAAGTAACTGAATACCTTGAAGCAATCTCTCCAATCAGAAAACACACAATCAGAACAGCGGTTGCATCAAAGCCTCATGAATGCTTCATTTATTCATGTGGCCCAATATAATATCTTAAAATGATTATTTTCTGTATTTCCTTGTATATGACGGTCCCTATTCCAGTGGGTCTGAAACATCCACATTTTCTTTAGAAGAATCATATTTCTTATCAAGAGAAACAGTAAATGTTTGGTTTTATACCTCTAAAATGGTTTTTTTTACTCTTAACTTTTTAAAACTATTAACAGGAGCAATAGTTCTGAAATCCAAAAGTTTTTAATTGCAAGAGATAGGCTTCGTTGAAAGGGGGAAAAGCTTTTGAAAATCAAAGTAAAAACTCTGAAAGAGGCTGCACATAACAACAGATTTGAAAGACAGTGGAAGACATAGACTGCCCCTAAGTAAGCGTAACCTGGGCTGGAAGAGATGGGTAAGTATGAAAGAGATTAGCAGGACAATAAAGATGATGGCCTCATGGAGAGGAGCAGATTTGGCAGCCATTTGGGAAAAAAATATGTTAGTATATGCATAAAATATAATCATCAAGGTTATAAATGTTTAGTTATTTTATATGCTCAAAAATATATTGCATGCTACATTTAATCATACTGTAATGTACAAAGTATGTGTCTTAACAGAGCACTACAGGGTGACTATGATATATGAAGCCCTAGAAAACATAAGGCTGAAAGGTGTGCTCTGGATTTTGCCATAGGAGTCACCCAAGCAACCATCTTAGCTGGAATCTGGCCATGTGGAGCTGACGTCCACAGCACACTGCCAGTTCGCTCCCCTTACATGGTACTCCCTCTTCATGCTGATGATATTTTAATAAGCTTTTTTTTGTTGGGGGGGGAGATCTGAATAGAGGAAAGAGAATAAAGAATAAAATCATAGGGGAAGAGATTATCTGGACAAAGGGAAACTCTGAGATCATGCGCTGAGATCATTTTGGACACATAGCTGCCTATTATTACTCCCTCTGGCATGGTCATAATTGAGATACATGTAGCTAGACATTTATGTTGCATTCCTTATCTGCCATTGGCCTTACTGCTTGGGAAGAAATTCTGCAGCTGAGGTCATACATTATAATTACCATCTAACATCATCATGAATTTTTTTTAAATGGACAGTTAAACACACACCAAAAAAATAAAATAAAAGCTAATTTTTAATTAAATAAAACATGGTTTTGTGAAAAGCTTACTATGTATATTATGCTTATTTTCCACCTTCTGCCCCTCATTAGGAAGAAGGTTGGCTTACATTTTTTGCAGAGGTATTTGGGAGAATGCTCTCAAGGGATACAGCTGTGGTAAAGCGAGGAAGACAAGATGGGGCAAAGGGTGAAGCTGACCTGCATTGCTGCTGCACCTGAACTTCATTTAGCCTTACAGGGAGCTTTGGACCAAGCACGACACTTCAGAGTTATCTCAAACTGAGGCATGGGGCTGGGACTTTGTGTCCTGCCTCAATCAGTCATTGGCCATAGAATTCCTCCTAGAGCAGGTATAATTTTAGATGAGGCAGTTCCCTGAGGCTGAGGGCAATTTCAATGAAGAGTGTAACTATGAACCACTGGATGCCAGTATTTCTAGCACCAGGGAATAAACATGCCAGTCCTGATGAGAAGAGTCAGTAACAAATCTCAGTATACATTTCAAACTTCCATGTGCAGCAACATCATTTTAAATATTAACATTAGAAACTATTATCTAGGCAATTCTTCAGTTCTCCCCTTTGCAAAGACTCAATAAATGCAGACTCCCATTATTCCTCCACCAGCTTACCAGATTTCATCTACAAACTGTAGTGCTGGATATAGATGACTTGAGAATCTAGGTGTGCATGGAATGTGATGTATGACTATAGTGGTGTTTCGGGAACCTGTATCTGTTTGGCTATCTAGCACATCTTGAGACCATGTAAGAGGATTAGAGAAATGCGCAGGTTTCTTACTTCTTAATTTTCTTTTTCCTAGGATTTTATATACAAATACACTTAAGCCACCTCTGATGTTGTAAGGTTAGCCGTGTCACCTGTCACAGGTGGTGTGAACACTATGAGTTGCTGACTCGTGTCCCTGTAAATTGCAGAAGCAGGGATATTGGAATCCAGTAGTGGTGGTCTGTGCTGATGCGCACGTCTTTCCTGGCTTGAATCCTTTTCATTACCGATATAAATCAATCTGTCGGCCTCCAGTGGTTAATACTGTAGTGAATGTCTTTAATTCAACTCCAAACTCTAAAAGTGTAATCTGAAGGAAAACATATTTTTAAAGTGTCCATTTTAAAATAGAAAACAAAATAAACAGGATGTATATATATATGTGACTTTAATCTTTCAAAGTTTCTTATAATCTGTCTGTTCTTAACTTTTAAGGATCTATGATGTCTTCTGCTGATAAAATGTTAATCTGAAGTTCAGAAATTATTTTCGGCCAGGCATGGTGGCTCACACCTATAATCTCAGCACTTTGGGAGGCCGAGGCGGGCTGATCACCAGAGGTCAGGAGTTCGAGACCAGCCTGACCAGCATGGTGAAACCCCATCTCTACTAAAAATACAAAAGTCAGATGGGTGTGATGGTGGGCACCTGTTAACCCAGGTACTCGGGAGGCTGAGGCAGGAGAATCACTTGAAACTGGGAGGCGGAGACTGCAGTGAGCCAAGATTGTGCCATTGCACTCCAGCCTGGGCGACAGAGTGAGACTCCGTCTCAAAAAAAAAAAAAAGATTATTTTCATTTTACTTTTTTCTTTGGTTTAAGTTAAAGTAAATTCAGTACTTAAGAAAATAGTATATTTAGATTGATGCCATTTTTCTGAAGTTACTTCTTGTTACTGATCTAGTTATCTCCCTTGCTCTCTGAATATATCCCAAGGGAGAGAGAGATCTTAAGTGTTGTTCACTAGTTGTTAATGATAGATTCTTCTGTGCAGCAATTTAATATGTTTTTTACTTCCCACCTACTTTTCTTTATTGCTTGCATTTATATAATAAGCATATATCATTTTTATAAAACAGTAAGATAGATGAATACTATTAAAACTTCAGAAGAAAATAAAGGAGAAGGAATACAGAGCTACTTCAAACCTTATTTCATTACAAGCATTTTATCTCTTCATCCCCATTTAATCACTTCAGCCTCAAGGTGAAAAAGTGAAACCCATAGACAGAGGTAATCTTGTCCTGATACAAGAAAACATTTGAAAATTGAAATAGTTAAAAGTATGCTCCTATGAGCTAGGGCTCTTTTTACTTCCATTTCTTAATTTATAGTCTTTGTGTATTTCCTCAAAATAAGCCTCCTGAAGGGAATATAAAATACAGATAGAAAAATGACGTCATCCAACTGAGCCCCCAACTGCAGTCACACATGAAGTCACAGATGAACAAACTATGGCACAGGAGAAACCAATTTTAATTTAATTAATAGGATAAAAGTTACTTTTCTTCATGTTTCTCCCTCTGCTTTTGGGTTTCTGTGTTTTTTTTAAATCACAAAATATTTTTAGAAATTACAGAAAGCAGAGAAAATACATACAAAAAGGCTTAAAGATCATCATAATTTTATCTCCCAAAGGCAACTAGCAATATTTTAGTTTAATTCAAGATTTTTTTAAAGGATTTTGGTTGTCACTTGGGATCAAACTGTATAAGAATGTTTACATTGCTTTCTGTACAAACATGATATATACAAAAGTTTCTTATGAGCATAACTCAGTATACATGTAATACATGCTCATAGAAGAAATTGGAAGACAAAAATTTTTAAATATCAATCATCCTGCCATCTAGATATAAACATTCTTGATATGCATTCTTCCCAACTTTTTAAGACAGTAATTAAACAGAACCTTCTGAATAGTTTTTATTTAACAATAGATCATAAACAACCTAGGTACCTCTAATTTTTGCTACGAGAGTACTGGAATAGAAGATGTTTTAAGGTATATCTTTGTGTATACTGAGCATGTTGTCCAATTACTTCCTTAGGAAAAACGTCTAGAGGTAAACTACTGAGTCATACTGTAATAACATTTTAAAGGCTATTCATCTATTTCTAAGATTAACTAGAAGGGTATACAAATTGGTAATTTTCCCAAAAGCAGAGGATGTCTGCTTCACAAACCCTTACCAATTCTGAATAACATTACTAATCTTAGTATTTCAGTCCAATAGGAAAAAAACAAAACAAATCATTGCTTATTGTCTTTTTATGCTTTGATTACTATAAAGGCTATAGAATTTTTCATAGAATTACTATTTTTGTATATTTCTAGCCTTTTCTATTGTCATCCTTATACTTTTGCTATTAATTTGCATCATTTTTAAATAGTCACATTATTGCTCCTTTGTCATCTGTTTCCAAATGTTTATAGGTATTTATTTTTCTTGTACAATTAACTTTTCTAATATTTCAAAGTAAAGCTATATGATAATTGATAACAGAACCTTTGTTTTTATTGTGCTCTTAATGAGAATAAATCTAGTCTTCTAGCCATTAAGGATGTATGTTAGTTTGAGATTATTTATTGTGTCAATTTCTATTCTAATCCTATTTTGCTAAACACATTTTTAAAATCAGATGTTTCAGATTTTGTCAAATGCCTTTTTGGCATATATTAGGCAAATATATTTTTTCCCTTTTGCATTTATTGAAAATATAAATTACATGTAATGTTTTTTCTAATATTGAACTTCTTTACATTCTGGAAATACACTCTCCTTGGTATTGAATGTTTGAATCTGTTCCATACGTCCTCATTTTCAAAAATACCAATTATGCATATATTGGGCTCCCTTTATCTTTTCTGTTATTATTAAAATATTTTATTATTTTAGTTTGATTCATTTTCTGATTTTCCCAAGCCATCCACCCTATCTTTGCCAAAATCGGTATTACTTTCTTTTTCTACTTCTTATTGCTTTCATTCTGAAATGTTTGTTTTATTGCCATGTTTTTCCTGAGTTTTTCCAACTTGCTGTTAGATTCTCCTCTTATCACACAATCCTCTTCCTAAGCATTTTTTATTTTTAGAAATATCAAATTGTCTGTAATTTTTTAAGAACATGAAATTCTATTGAACTGAACCCTTCATTCTTTGGGCAACTCATTTAATAATGTATATTTATTTCCTTTTGTTTAAGATTTTTACTCATCTCTGAATGATTCATCTGCCAGATTCCAGATAAGGAACTGTGTGGAGTAAATTGTTAAAACTTTATGTTGCTTCAGCATCCATTTTGAATCTAGGTTTAACTTTCTCATACCAGAAGCAAGGCTTAGTTACCTTTGACACATATCCAGTTCTCTGCCTCTTCCCAGTTCCTCAATGTGGTCAATCCAAATGTCTGCCTCCTGGTGGCTACCTCCCTACGGGACATAGAGATACAACCTAGCTGACTCACTCCACTGACCCCACACCTACATAGACTGTACATACATGCCACAGTAACCACTCTCAGTCACAACATGACCCTTTGAGATTCATGCTAGCTTGCTCTAAACATGCCAGTTAGAATTTCCTGTGGGAAGCCTGCTTGGGTAATGCCCTGCACCCTAATAAAGTCCTTGGCTCATAGATCTTCCTCCACACTCCACCTACAGGTTGGGCACTCTGTTGGCTCCAGACTTCCTGTCAACCCTCATTGACACCCCTCTTCTCTTTGGGATCTGTACATAATAAACTGCTTCTGACATTTCATGTGTTTGTGCTGTGTTGCCTCCTCTGTCTTACCTAATTGACACACCCACATCTAACTTTCCTTCTAGTCAAAGCTCTCCTGGAGAGTGGCTATCTTGGTGTTATAAACTGGACACAGGTCAGACAAGAGCCATAGGGGTATCTGCCAGCATAGACAAATTTACTGTGAGAGGGACACCAAGTCATATGTTGTACACTTAGGCATTAAGCCATCTGCCAGAATTAAAAAAAAAAAAAGCATCTGTATCCCATGAAAGGCATATTGTAAACATCCTGGATCAAATCCCATGGATCTGCATCAGGGCAAGGCTGGAGTTTATAGCCAATCTCCAGAGAGAGAGCGCTCAGGACAAATTAGAGAGGAATACAAGACTATTCTGTGGAGAAAATGGAGAGAGGAGTGTGAACTGGCAATCTCTAGCCTCTCTTTTGTCTGATCTCTCCTTTATTCTCTGACTAAATCTTTTAGTGTCCGAGGGAAAAGCATAGTAGAGTTGAGGGTAGGGAGAAAAGGGAGTACAGAAGACAGTAGTTCAAAACCTATGCTCTGAAGTCACCCACAGGATTCAAATTCCAATGCTGCTCCCTGCTAGCTCTTTGGTCTTGAAATAGTACTTTAAATTATCTGTATCTCTGTTTTTTTATCTGCATAGTCCCTTTATAGCTTGTTATAAAAATTAAATGAGTCACTATTAAATCTAGAACAGTTTCTGCCACATATAATAGTTCAACAAGGGTTAACATTATGATTAGTTGTTTCTGCCCCATGAGCTTTCTGTTACAATATGCAACTGCTTTGTCTTTTTCCTTGAATCACTCTACCTTATTCTAAGCATCCGCCTCAATTAGGAGGATTGGTTAGAGACCATAGAAATGACATAAGCTGTATTCTTCAGTTGCAGTTTTTGACTTTCTGTGTTTTTTAACTAAGTCGTTACAGGGACATGCCTGCATTTCTCATGACTGCCTCATTCCTCTAGCTTGCAGTCAGTCAGTGGCTTCTCATTTAAGGACTACAGTGCTTACTTTCAGAGAAACCCATACCTGGCAGAATGCAAATACCACTTGACTATCAACAAGCTTTCTCCTCTGTAGAGATATCTTTGGCCAGAATACTTCATAGTTTGAAGCTGTAGTAGACATTATTTCTTAGGTCATTGTAGATGGTGGATTACTCCCTTTCTTTTTTTCCTTGCTGTTTCTGACAGGTTTCATTTTTTTTTAAAGGAGAGTAATAAATATGCCTTAATTTAAGATTTCTAATCAAAAATCTGGAATAGATTCAATACCTTAAGAATGGTCTGAAAGAATTCACCTGTAAAATGGTCCAGGCTGAAATCAAATCAATGGTGAATTCATGATAAAATATAAAATTCAGTATGGCCATTATATTATATACACTTTCTACTTCTTTTTAAGATATTTTTTATTTGTTAATATTTTCAAAATATTCCACTTGGATTCTCCATATTATTAGTATTTTGTTTTTAAATTGATTTAATGTTTCTGGTTATATCCTCATTCTCATTTCAAATATTACATATGTATGACTTCTCTTCCTCATTTGCATTGCCAGGATTTCAGCTATTTACTAGACTTTTCAAAAAGCTCATTTATGGCTTCATTTATACTTCTGCTTTTATCATTGTTTATTTCTATTTCTATTTTCCTTAGCCTAATTTTTAATTTTTCTAGATTCTTGAATAGTATACTTGCTTTATTTTTTATTCGTTCTTGTTAATAATAAAACCATTTGCAGCTAATCATTTTGCTCTGAGTATAAGGTGGTGATACTGGGTTATTCTTATTTGCATAAACATTATTTTAATGACACCAAAATATTCTATGGTTAAAAAAGACTATAAGCATGCTTAACCATTCTCATTATAGTTTAGTTTATAGGTTAATTTCATCTTTGCTAATAGGTTATAGGTTAGTTCCATCTTTGCTAATTATAAATAACTCTGTATATAGTTTAATTAAAAAATACTTGGGGGGAGGGGGGAGGGAAAGCATTAGGAGATATACCTAATGTAAATGACGAGTTAATGGGTGCAGCACACCAACATGGCACATGTATACATATGTAACAAACCTGCACATTGTGCACATGTACCCTAGAACTTAAAGTATAATAAAAAAGAATACTTTTTCTTGATATAATATGTATGTATTCATTTCAAATTTTTATGAAAATTTCACAAAACTAAGGATTAATTTTCTACTAAAGAATCTAGAATATATCTCTTAATCAGTGTTCTTCATTCTTTTATGGAGTCATATTATACCATTTTTTTTTCATAGCACTGTACTATGTTTTCATTAATTGCCAAAGAAAATATTACCATCTGCTTAGCATCAATGACTTATGACACTAATTGTACTAGATGACATAGTTAAGCAGGAGCTACTGTTAATACTTTTTTTGTTCATTGCCCTAGATGGTCTAGGATTTCATTTTATTGGAGAAAATCTCCTGTCATCTTTGCAAATTATGTTAATTTTATTGATAGGTTAGTAAAAGGTATTCTGGACACCATGTATCGTTTTGTAGGCAAAGAATTTGACTGTCCTTCATAAAACCTTTGTGAAAAACACAGTGAAATTATTATGACAAAAATTGGACAAAAACAAGAATCCACTGGCAACATCCAACATTGGAGGGTATAATTTTAAAAGTTGAGAACTTCCAGGAACAGTGCTGGAAACTATGTATGCTGGTCAGTACCTAAGCCTATGACTAATCATAGAACTTTGTGTGGAAATAACCAAAAACATAGGTACTAAAACTGCTTCTTCCTCCTCTCAGCAGTAGCTTGAGGTTCATTTTGAATCTACACAAATTGTTCTATAATAATGGCTAATATCAAAAATATGATCAAACTTAAGTCAGGCAATACGCTAAACTTTGTACATGCAAAATCTCATTTAATCCTCAAGATGACACTACAATTTTGGTTTCATCAATGTGATAGACTAAACAAATGAATAAACTACTCCTGCTGCAAATGCTTACAAATTCTGAATAAAGTAAAAAAGAATCTTTTAAAATACATTACTAAGGCAGCTAAAAAAGAGTAAAATCCCCAGACATCAGGAACTAAAAGAGTGGTAAGCACACAAGTTGATGCTTCAGTGGCCAGGATGGCATGAGTGGTGTGCAGGAGAGTATAGAACTCAGGAGATCTCTAATTGCTAGGGTGTTGGACATTAATATCTATGCAGAGAAATTAAACCTATGTGAGGTCAGGAGTGGGGATGTAAATCCCAGTATAAAGACAGGACCCTTAAAGTGCTACGCCCACAGAAAATGAGGAGCTCGATAAAATGTGTCTACATGTCTTAGGATGCCAGCAATAACATTTTCTTTATTTTGGGTTCTGGGTGAGTAAAAAAAAAAAAATTACCATGAGAAATCAAAACCTCAAGCTTAAGTAATCTGAGATGTAGAGTCCAATTTACAGTGTTCATGAGTGATGAGAATCCAAGCCTACTTCACTGAAGTATGTAGCAGAGGAAAATGAAAAACTGCTCTGAACCAATGTCATATGAAATTCCTACAAGAGAAAAAAAACGACATACAAGAATTTCTTAATCAAAAATTACAAAATGTGCTAGAAAATAGTTATCAGACAGAATAAATCAGATTAGTAGAGAACCTAGAAGGACAAATAATAATCTGAACAAGCTTATAAAATAATTTAAATGGCTAAAGAGATAAAAGAAAAAATGAAAATCAAAGAATAAGAAACAACAAAAAATAGAAAGTCTAAGAAACAAAAGAACTTATAGAAATGAAATAAATATTTATTGAGATTTCAAATCCAGTAGACTGGAAAAAACAACAAATTCTACATAGTCAGTGGGAGAATCAAGTAACAAGATAGAGCTGAGGAAATAACCCAAGATGTAGCACTGAGTCATAAAGTGATAGAAATGTAAAATAGGTTAAAAGATTCGCAGAACAAAAGGAGAAGGTCCAACATGTGTCTATTAAGAGTATGAGGAAAGGAAGAGGTGGGAGAGCAATATTCAAAAAGGTAAGGTCTGTGAAATTTTTCAAGTTAATAAAATACATGTAACATAAGATTGCATAAGCTCAAGTCCTGAGCAAAATAAAAAAAAAACTACATGTATATTTATCATAGAAAAATAGCAGAATATCAAAGACATTGGAAATAAAAACATAAAAGGAGAAGAAAGAGAAAAAGATAGATTACCCTGCAAAGGAGTAATTAAAGTTATACCAAAGTTTTCAATAGCAAGATGGAGACCAGAAAAGAGATGAAGAAACTGAGGCACAGAAAAGTCACACATGGTCCTTAAAGACAGGTAGCCAGTATGTTGCAGAGTCAGATTTTAAGTAAGGTGATCTGACTCCAAAGCCCACATTCTTCAACAACACAGAAAGCTTTTCTGCATAACATTCTGGACAGTTGTCTTTGACTCACCTTTACTTAAAAAAAATAAAAGAAAATGAAAAAACATTTTTTTCTCAATAAGTCAAAATCCGAAATGGTTAGAAAAACCATGTATGTGCCTTTTTGCAAATCTGAAATTAATCTAACTAATATCAATAATGTTTACAAAAATTTAAAAGTTGGATTTGGAGGGCAGCTCATCAGCAGTATTAGATTGCAGATTTCCACACTGGATGGAAATTAAACTATATTTAGACTTGTCTAGAGGCAAAACAGTTGACAATGTCATCCAAGTGGAAGCATGTGGGTGAGTTTCAATGCATAAAAATATTTCCAATTTTTAATCAGCTATACCATATGTAGTAATTGGAGAAATCTTAGAAATATGGCCTCAATTTCCCACATCATCTCTAAAGCATATAACCTTGGGTATACATGAACTAGGCAACAGATCTTTAATTTAATAAATGTTAAACATATATTTTAAATCTCACTAATAGAAGTATTTTTAAAATTGGATAGATTTTTTTTCACAGATTGTTAACTAGGTCTGTAAATAATTCCCAATGGGAGGGACCAATGAGGATATGAGTTGAAATAAATATTTGACCTACCACAGTGAATTCTTTGAAGGACAATACATGTTCATATACATAAATTCCTTGAGCAACACAAGTCCTGAGCAAAATAAATTATAAATCATATCATAGCTCAAAAAGGGTAAAAGGCATCAATCTTTAAAGTATTTCTACATGTAACTGTATCAACTAGTGTTCCATGGTACAAAAGACAAAAGTACTATCAGTTTATCACAGGAGTCCCAGAAAATTGCTGTTCTGAAATTAATATTTTATTTCTTTAATTAACAATATTAAATTTGTGACAAGAGAATGGTCAAAGGACTGCAATGAATTCTATAGTCTAATAATAAACTAAAATTACTTTCATGTAACACTGCAAGCTCATTTTTTAATAAACGAGAGGCCTACAGGGAGGTGAGTGGTACTGCTGGAGCTTAAAAGACTGAGTTTAAATCCTTCCTGTCCTATCACCTTGGGGAAGTTACTTGAGCCTCTGTTCTTTCATGTGGATAAAAAAGATAATAGTACTTTCAGGCTTGTGGTGAGGATTAAACAGGCTAAGGTATGTAGTAGATACTCTACAACTGGGAGTCATTTTTATCTCCAATTAAATTATGCCATCATTTAAAGCTGCTATGCCATCAAGGAAAGCTGATACTAGGAGCTTTCTAAGAACTTGTGGGTTTTGGTGCTGTCATGAAAGGCAGACACCCACACATACCTGAATTATGTATGGTACCTGGATACCCTAAAGAGGCAACCACAGGCGTTGGTTCATTTTGATCTGGAATTCCCCACTCCCACCTCTCACAGGCACTAGACATTGGCCCTAAAGAAGACCCAACCTTCACACCAGAGGAGATGCATTCTGCCCATCATGATCATGATAGGTTGTACCACGTCATTAGACAGATATTGCTTAGCAACCAATACAGTAAAAAAAAAGGGGGGGTAAGTAAATGAGATGGGAATAGATTGGGATAGAGTGTCAATCTCTTGTACTCCATTTTGTGACTTGGGCAGACGGGACAGGGCCCCCCCAGGAAAAGAGCTCAAGGATTAGCCCAGTTCAGCCTTTGACATTTGTCCTGCTATTAGGAAAAAATTCCTCAACCTTTGGCAACTGTCTCTAATAGGCTAGTGACATGGTCTATTAACGCACATCAAAACAAATTCTGACATCTTTTTCCAACCACATTCCCACTCCTCTCCTTTAGGAAATGAGCAAGCTGGAATGAGGGCAGCTAGTACTTGTCTTCTCCCCTGAGCCAGTCATAGAACCCCATTTCCTGTAATAGATCTCTTGTCTCCAAGAGCGTCTGTTCATTCAATATGAAGTTATTGGGCACTCACCCTACTATATTAACAGGTCCTGTTTATTGAATGTTCACTGTGAATTCAGGCACAGCATTAAGTGCTTTTATAAATGTATCATGTTGTTTAAGATTTCCACAATGTTGTAACATGTATGTTTTCCATCTCACATGGAAGGAACTGAGGCACAGAATTTTTAAGCAACTTCACCAGCAGGCAATATAAAGCATGGTCTAACTCCATTATCTCACCACTATACTAAGCCTGGAAAAAAAAATAAGAGATGTTTTCTGTCCTCAAGGAGCATGGAGCCCAGTAAGAGAGATGTGCATGTATACAACCCACAAAATTCATTGACAAGTGCTCCAAAGAAGGTCCATAAGCACTGCTCCTTTTCAAAATATGAGTCCTTCATACTGACATCAGCTAATGACACTTGGTAATGTACCAACGCATTCATACTGTGCATGAGGCATGGATATTGTCAACAGATCTATAACAATGCTGCATGAGAATCTATCTGAGCCTTGACAGCATCTAAAACCTTAAGCCTTTGGTCATGACAGTGTTTTCACCTGTATTACGAAGGAATGCTCAGTCAAGCCTGAGAAAACAATGAGCCAGGTGAAGACAACCTGCAGGACATAAGCAAACACTCACAGAACCTGCCTCAGCCTGAGATAAGTAATGACTGGAAATGCTCTTCCCTAGCAGGAAGCCCATAGAGCAAGGTTAACAGAGCCCTTGGTAAGCCCCAAGACCTAAGATTCCTGGGTTAAGGGATTTTACAAGGATCATATTGTAAAGTCCTGACGGGCTTCCTCACTTTGTTGGCTTTGATGGGTCAGTAGGCAATAAAGGTTTACTCTGAGATCTGATGATTTTGGCCACAGGACAAAAGAACAGCCTTGAGTCTCTACCCTAAATTGATATGCAGTCTGAGTCACTGAGATAAATGCATGCTTCCTCCACCCCAGCCTCTAGACTGAAAAAGAAGGATTACTCATTTATGGAACAATAAATAAAGGGAGCTGATAGCCACAGAGAAAGAAAGGGCAAGAGCAAGAATTTAGAAAACTGACCACGAACAGGCATAGACATGAAATTGGAGGGTCTCTTTTAAAGCTCAGGTCCCCTGCAACTTCCTCTAGCAAACTCTGATTTTTAGTCTTCTGACCCAAGTTAGAATTAAGTTAGAAGATGTCACTCACATCTTGATTCCTTCGGAGAAGTATTCACCTCTATTACAGCATTTCATGCCACATTGTAATATTGCCTCTCTTGTAGGATTAAGACCTCCATGAGGGCAGTGAATGTGCGATGTATATCTTAATAACCACAGCTTCCCACACATGGGAGGCAGCAATGCTTAACAGAAGACAGGGCCTCAGAGTTGCACCCACCTGGAGGGGACAGCCCTCAGAAATGAAAGGACCACATAGCCCAAAATGAAGATGTGAGATTGAGGATGCACCCCCTGAAATTTACCTCTTGAGTCAGTTCCCAGGGTCACAACTGCCAATTGCAAGTACGCAGATGAGAGTGAAATAACTTTGATAACACCACATCTAATTTACACGCAAATCCCATCTGGTCTACCTTCAGAACACATTTCGAACCTAACCACTTCTTACCACCTCAGTCTACCATCATGTCGAACCTGGTCTATGGTAACCTCCTAATGCATCTGTCTACCTCCACTGCCTCCCACCCTCAGTTTGTCATTAATACAGCTGCCAGAGAGAATCTTGTAAAAACAGAGGATATCATGTCCCAGTTCAAAACTCTCCACTGAATTTCCATCACACTTAAAATAAAATCCAAAGCCTTTACCATCATCTAAAAAGTCTTATACGATGATGCCAACTTCTCCCAGACACCACTTCTATTTCATTTCCTCCTACTCTTCCCTTCCCTGACACCAACCTGTCAGAATGGCCTTCCTGCTATCCCTTGAGCACGTTTTGTATGTTTCTACCTCAGGGCCTTTGCACTGCCTGTTTCTGCTGACATTTTCACTCCAGATAACTATAAGGTTCACTGCACATATTATTCAACTTTAGGCTCAAATGCTGCCTGTTCTGAGAGGTCTCTCCTGTGCTCGCCATCTAAAATAGTAACCTCATTATTCATCAGCCTCATATCCTGCTTTGTTTATCCTCAGAGGGATTACACTATCTAAATGATGTTATTTATTTCTTTCTTTGATAATTTCCTATCTCCTATACTAGAATAAGATTCATGAGAGCAGGGGCATTGTCTTTGTTCATTGCTCTATCCTCAAGGCCTGAAACTAAGTCACTATGCAATAGATTATTGTTAAATAATTTGTCTTAAGAATAGCATGTTAGGACGGGCATGGTGGCTCATGCCTGTAATTCCAGCACTTTGGGAGGCCAAGGCAGGTGGATCACTTGAGGTCAGAAGTTCAAGACCAACCTGGCCAACATGGTGAAACCCTGTCTCTACAAAAAATACAAAAATTAACCAGGTGTGGTTTTACATGCCTGTAGTCCCAGGTACTCAGGAGTCTGAGGCAGGAGAATCGCTTGAACCTAGGAGGTGGAGGTTGCAGTGAGCCAAGATTGCACCACTGCACTCTAGTCAGTAATAGAAGGAGACTTTGTCTCAATAAAAACAAACAGCATGTTAAATGGGCCAAAAGATCACAGGCTCCAGAATTTCAAGTGCACCTTGAAGTCAAAAAGTCAGTGAACAAGCCCACAAGAGGAACTTAGGTAAATGTCTATGAGCCCCAATCTTCTGCTCCACAGTCAAATTGCATAGGACATCCTTACACCAAGCTTAGCACCGTATTCCACTGGACAATTGTGGCTTAAGGAACGAGCACAGGAATTAACCTGAGAACACTTAGGCATAAGCCCTGATCAGCCAGTCACTAGTTGTACAACTTAGGCAAGTTAGCTAACCCCTCTCAGCCTTAATTTCCTGATCTGTAAAAATGAGGATAATGATAATAGGTACCTTTCAGGACTGTGCAAAACAAATTAAATGAGCTAATATATATGAAATGGCCCAGAACATTACTGAAGTTCAGTAAATGTTAGATTAATGTAAATGTTAGATTAATGTGAATGTGTTCTCACCTGTTCACAGGCAGGGATGTCTCTAAGGTGACCATTCAAGGGATCCAGGCATTGAATGCCCTCTGCTAGTTCAAAAGTCATCTCCAAAGGCTCTTGGCACTTCTTAGTTCCAAAGTCAATAAGATCCTGAAAAGCAGGTATAGAACTAACCGTAAAGAACAGGACCTGTTTTATAAGTTACTATAACTAACATAAGCTGGTGAGTGTGCTTTGTGAGCTAGCTGGTTGTAACTTTTGTCTCTAACCATTAAAAAGTCAGCTTTAAACCCTGATGCTTTGTCTTATGAAAACACAAGAAGGCAATGGAAGTCACCAAGCCAGAATTTCTAAGCCTCTTTTACTCCAGGTGTCTTTCCCATTATGATAACAAAGGTCTAGAGGAAGGGTGGCAAATGCATGAGAAGTGAGGCTGCCATGCCCTCCTAAGCCTGTGGAAGACACTACAGATTCACATGGCCTGTTTCCAGTGAGCCCTGACATGACCTCGACAAAGTGTTCCTGGCAGGCACTGACAATGAATTTGAGTTGAAGCATGAGAAAAAAAATCCATTTCCTATCCCTAAGGATTGCTGAGAAGGAAGAACAACAAACTTCGCATGAGCTCCTCACTCTGACCATGCCGGTGTGCTCAACCCAAAGCCTAAAGAAGATAAATTATCCACTTTTTCCCTTTTTGGTTCCCCCACCCTCTTCCCTCGACTCTGACCTGTCCTAAGCTCCATCATTCTTTGGCTATTTGGAAACTGACTCCATGTATTCAGTGCCACCAGCTGGCTAATTAAATAGAAGTGTCTGTCTGTAGCTTTCTCCATGAAAAATATTAATGAAAATGTTCTATTTTGTGTTCTTTCCTTCTCCTAAAAGAAAGTACAACATAATTCCCTTATGATAAAAATGTATTTCACAATTCAAGATGACTGTTCACAAGGCAGAGCTATTGTCTCATAGATGAAGAGACTTGGGTTTGGAGAGGTTAAGTGACTTGCTACATGTCACTCAGCTAAATGACAAAACTGGGCTAAAAGCCAAGTTTTTAAAATTTCAGTTGAGACCATGTTCTGCTCCACCAATATGCCTACCTGAACAGCTAAGATGGCTCCAACCCAGAACAATTAATATCATTGTTGACAGTATAACTCACTAAACATTGGGATAGAGACAAACTGAACATTTTCTGCAGAAGGCATACATTCTCGACAACAAAAATATGTGAACATAGGCTTCATACTTGCTCTTTGAGTTTTGTTTTGTTGTTCCTATTGCAATCAACTTACTGCATCCCATAATAAAGAACTCAGGAAAAACAGGAAGGATTCTGGTAAGAAAGGAAAAAAAGAACTCAAAAGGAAAATGAACAAACAGCAAAAAAAAGAGAAATATATTCTTTTAATTGAAGATATGCTTTAGACACATGATAGAAATGTCTAGAAAACCAGGAGCTCCTGTAAACATAGATGAGACCAAAATGTAAGTTGTTAAGAATAGAGATCTGGTGCAAGAGTGCCTGGGTTTTATCTCTGTATCTACCACTTACAGAAGGTTAGTTAACCTCTCTAAGGTTAATTTCCTCTTTCTGTAAAGAAAAGATAGTAATTGTATAATTTCACAGTGGTTTTGGTACATGCAAGACAATTTATATAAAGTCTTAAGTATAACATCTAAAATTATTTCAAACACTAAGTTAGCTATTATTGTTACTAATATTATCATTTGCACTAGATAGGATTCATATAATGAGGGCTGTTTTCCCTGTTATGCCTCTTCTCTTTGACCTTGTGCAAATCACTTATCTTCATCAAGCTCCAGTTTCATCTTCTGTAGACAGACACAATAACAGCAGCCCTACTTACTTTACAAAGTCCTTAGAAGGATCAAATGTGATAAAATAGTACAGAGTGTTTTGTAAACAGCACATCACCATTCTTTAATCACAGTCTTTTCTAATTCTAACCAGGTCTCATATTAATATATTAGTTAAGCAACTAAAGATTTCAAGGAGTGTCAGGCTGAAATCATCCTTAGCCCTTAGCTGGATGAAATGTGCATGTGTTTATGTGAGAATGGGCTGTGTTTTAATATCCTTCACTTATACCTTTTTATCTTCACTCACAGATGTTGAGTACCCAGTATGTGCTAGGCACTTGAGTTACAATGGGGTCATATAGTTGACAAGGCAGTCTGAGGCCCTGTCTGTTGCATACTTAGGTAAGCAGTTGGAAGTTGCATGTAGGAAGCCAGAGTGCACAGCGGGAGGACTGACGCTTATCTGGGAGGGGCAGGAAAGGAGATTGATGAAAATGACATTTGAGATGAAAGCTGAAGGAGGAGGAAGCATTAAAGACGCAAAGGGGAGGGAGTTTCAGCAGTGGGAAAAACTAGTACAGAGGCTCTGAAGGAAGAACAAATATGAAGCATTCAAAGGACCAAAGAAGACCCATATGAATGGGATTTAGAATGGAGGGTGGGGAGAGCTCAGAATTAAAGCTGGAAAGGTAGGCAAGGGTCAGGTCTAACAGACCAAGTCAGAGGTATTGACCTTTATTCTAAAGGCAATTTTTAAAATCCACAAGTTTAAAATAAAAATTAGCAGTTTGAAAAGATCACTGGCTAACACGATGGGAGGGGCAAGCGTGGATGCAGGAAAAGCAGTGAGAGCATGGGCTACTGTACTGGTCCAGGCAGTGACAAGGGCAGTTCCAGAAAGCACCAAGACAAGGGGGATAGAGATAAGTGGTCTGATTTAAGAAATACTCAGGAGGAGACAGCGCAGAACTTGATGCTGGATAAGCTGAGGGGTAGGAGAGGGAGATGTCAAGGCCAGCTCCTCTATTTCTGCTTTGAGCAACTGAAGAGAAAATGGACTTTGTCTCTGGCAACAAGAATGTAGTAGACAATGAACATGTTTAGTTGACTGTGAAGCATCCAAGTGAATGTATCAAGCCAGCAGTGGAATAGAGTGGCCCAGAATACGTAGAACTTTGAACCAAAGTGAGCTATATTTGTTTGTGGATAAAATCTGTAGAACTCAGGGGAAATGTTCTCTCTAATGAGGGACAGAGAAGAAATGACTAGCAGGAAATGGGTTTCTCTCCTGCTCAAAAGTCAGACACATTGAAGACAAGATCACTACTTTTAGTTCACTCCCCTCCCCTTCTCCATTCAAAAACTGTCACTGCTCTGATGATGTCACCCTTCTCCCAAATGTATTTATATGCACAAATGGGTGTTTATGAAGCTTTCAGATTCTCTTTACTGGTAGGGAACGTAGTTCCTTATCAGGACAACAAAGATTGACATTTGACAGACAGCAGGAAAAACAAGAATTAAAGCAGCAAGGCTTTCTAATTCCCTCTAAAATTATTGGCTTTTTCTTACAAGCAAGGCTGCCAGAGTTTGCAATTGTTCAGAAATTGCAGCACCGAGAGAGTCTTCTGACTGCAGCACCATCTCAGAAGCTTTTTTTGCCCAGGCCAGCCTATGCCCACAGCTGCATTTCTCACTTCTTCTCAACCAGCTCCTCTCACCCACCTCCTCTGAGCTAGTCGCTCATGACCCCTGGGGGCCAGCTAGTGTACCAACAAGAAGCCTAGAAAAGCTTAGGGAAAAGTCTGTGGTTAATGCTTTCCTTATCCTTAGCCCTTCAACTAAATACTCCTGTGTGATGTCAGGCTTTGCTTTTACTAGATTTGTATTTATTGACAATTTGCTAGAGTTTACTTAACTGTAACCTGAAATAATGTCCCTTTCCTCCTAGGATTTTCTTTGGGAACTTAAACAAAATAACATATTCATCATAAACAATAGATGAATAAAAAGGAGATGCTTTTTTCTCTATTTTAGAGTACTCTGTAAAGTTCATGGAACCATCTGAATCAGCATCACCTGGCAGGCTTATAGCAGATTTTAGGCCAGGCGTGGTGGGTCACACCTGTAATACCAGCACTTTGGGAGGCCAAGGTGGGTGGATCATTTGCAGTCAGGGGTTCGAGACCAGCCTGGCCAACATGGCAAAATCTCACCTCTACTAAAAATGCAAAAATTAGCCAGGCGTGGTGGCAGATGCCTATAGACCCAGCCATATGGGAGGCTGAGACAGGGGAATCACTTGAACCCAGGAGGTGGAGGTTTTAGAGAGGCGAAATCATGCCACTGCACTCCAACCTGGGTGACAGAACGAGACTCTGTCTCAAAAAAAAAAAAAAAATCAGATTCCAGAAGCTCCTTCCACTCACATACAGAGCCCAGATTTGTACAGTGCAAGATAGAATCTTATTTCCCCTTGGCCTAAGGAGCCATTTCTACCTGTGTACTGCAAACACTGAAAAACCTGGACACTTTTGGTCTGAGATGTGCATTTCTCAACTTCAGCTTCAAATTGGATTCACCGGGGGAGCTTTGTAATGACACTGATGCTCAGGGCTTCAATCAGACTAATTAAATTAGAACTTCTGTGCATGGGGCCCAAGCACCAGTACTTTAAGAAGTGCCAGGTGGTTCTGTAATATAGCCAGAAATGAGAACCACTGGTTTCTATTTTACTTACTAAGTGTATTAGTCCATTTTCATACTGCTATGAAGAAATACCCAAGACTGGGTAATTTATAAAGAAAATGAGGCTTAATGGACTCACAGTTCCACATAGCTGGGAGGCCTCACATTCATGGCAGAAGGTGAAGGAGTAATAAAGGCACATCTGACATGGCAGCAGGCAAGAGAGCATGTGCAGGGGAACTGACCTTTATAAAACCATCAGATCTCATGAGACTTACTCACTATCATAAGAACAGCACAGGAAAAACCCACCCCCATTATTCAATTACCTCCCACCACCCTCCCACAACATGTGGGAATTATGGGAGTTAAATTCAAGATGAGATTTGGGTGGGGATACAGCCAAACCATATCACTAAGCTACTTGAGAATTCTATCACTGCTTTAAAATCCATTAATATGTAGCTACTCCCCTTCTCTTTCACTGGCAGTCAGTCAGCCTTCTTCCATCTTGGATACCTATCTCCTTTTTAGTATTAGAACCTTTACAACATAGAACAAGCTAATTGCTCCACCCAATATTTACCTATAAATAGCACTGCCCTATTGACATTCTCCTGCTTAGAAATTCTGAGTGCATTGAGGCCACTATGAGACAGGGTTGGATCTGGGAGATAGTCTTGACCCCCCAGCTTCAGGAGAGCAGGTAGAGTCTCCTCCTCCACACGCTGACCAGGTAGACATTGTGGCACTGAAAGGGAGTCTGGCAGGTAAAAAGGAGCTCATAACCTTCGGGAGGACACCTGTGTTGAGGAATTGCTTATATCTAAAAACAGCTTCTGTAGCAACATACCAAACTCTGGCTTTGTATAGTCTGTCTTAATTAAACTTCAGTTGCAGCCTAATGGGATAAAATGGGATAAAAAAGGTAAACTAACAGAAGATAATTGCTAGGGGGAAAAGGAAGCTAAACTTTAGACAGCAGATCTTATTGGTACATGGAAAACCAAAACAGGCAAGTAGCCAGAGAAAACTTGAAATATGGAAACTCTAATGTGTGGTTCTCCGGTTCAAATCTTTCTCTCTACTAAATGGCAAATGTCATGGGCAGAAGGTGGAAGTAGGACTTTTCATTTCTATATAATCAAGCTTATAATTTCCTTTCTTGGGAGTAGGTTTTGATAAGGATGGGAGAAAGCACAGACCTCCATGAACTTGGGGAGGAGGTATAAAAGGAGAAGGATATGGAAGGTGTCAAAGCCATTACCAAGTGATAGTTTTGGGAAGAGAGTTTTCTGTTTTGCAGTTCACCCTAGAACAGGCATATTATAGCTCCCTTTGCCCCAGATCAAATCAAGAAAACTAGCTCTCAATGTCAATGAGAGAGAGTAATCAAGAATCTGAGAAGGATTCTCCATGCATCTTGAGACTCTTCCTTAGGCTGACCTGATTTTTAATCTTTCCTCCTGGGGCCTCTCCTATCTCTTCCTCCCCTGTACTGTGTCCTGCCCAAATAGAGACTATGCTTCTTTTAACATCCACATGCCTCTGTTACATCTTCCCTGCTTGTGATGCCGAACTGTGTTGCAACTACAGTCTATTTTCCTTTTCCGACACACATGGTCCAAACTTTATAGCCAATAATGAGCTTCAAAAACTTTGTAACTCAAAGAAACCATAAAACACCGCTCCACAAATTTCTCAGGCAAGATCCATGGTTGGCGAACTGATATATTCACTTTGCCCAACAGGGATTTAACTTCTGATCCTCTCTTTTCCTGACTGTGGAAAGAGCAAGACTACATGGCAGGAATGAGCCTCCAGAGAGGGCCCGGACAAACACCAGATGAATTAAAATATCACCTTGATTACAGTGTACATATGTCCTATTTCTTTTTTATTATGTCTTTCTCTGTTCTAATAATATGTCCCATTTATTTTAGGGAAGCCCAGTCCAGATAGTTTAAGAGGAAGGCATTAAATGGACATGTGGATCTTTATTTTTGGGGAAGAAACCTAAGAGGAAAATCTGTACCCATATAAACAGCCAAAAAAACCATAACAGCCATCTATTTCCTCATTTCATTTTATGTCTTTCTCTGTTCTAATAATATGTCCTGTTTATTTTAGGGAAGACCGTCCAGATAGTTTGAGAGGAAGGCATTAAATGGACATGTGGATCTTTATTTTGGGGGAAGAAACTGACGAGGAAACTC
This sequence comes from Homo sapiens, assembly GCF_000001405.40. NCBI lineage: Eukaryota > Metazoa > Chordata > Mammalia > Primates > Hominidae > Homo > Homo sapiens. The sequence goes on from NC_000010.11 coordinate 90,596,267, forward strand.
TGTACCCTCATAAACTGCCAAAAAACCATTAACAGCCATCTATTTCCTCATTTTCTTAGGTCCTAAGGGAAAACCCCAGTGGAAACCAACACTAAATAAGAGAATGGATAAAACTGTTTTGGGGAAATTTGAGTATGGGGAGAGGAATGGAGATTGCCCTGGGGAGGGCATAAATAGTGCCTCTCTGAATTTAATATGTGATGTCCAGAGGGACCTAAATGAAACACAGATTCTAAAATAAATTGTTTGAAAGGCACTTCAGAAACATGGAGGTTATGAGAAAGAAAATTTTGATTAAGACTCACCAGCCTGGATTCAGTAAAGAAACACTGTTCTTAATACCTGCTGTAGCCTTTTAAGTTGTCTTTTTATTCGCATGACAATGAGTCAGGGCAATACACTCATATTTTTCAAAAACCTTTCGACATAGTTTAACTTCTGGAGATAATAGCCAAAGCAAATGTCACAGAATAAAGGATAAAAAAGCTTTATGTAGAAAAGTCCTAGGTACGGGAGATTAAAGAGAGCCCCAGGTAACTCCAGGGCTCATGGAATGTGGATGGCTGATCCTGTTTCTAATGAGGCCAGGAGGAAGATCACATTCAAGCCCTTAAAGAAAAAATTGCTATCTCTGGGAAGATACCTCTAATTCCACCCAAACTTCCCTAAAATGTGTTGCTTTGGTCATAGAGCATAGAGAAGGATGAAAGAAGGCGTACAGAGAGTTTAAGACCATGTCTGCTCCTAAAGCAGTGACTAACCAGACCTATTGTCAGATATACACTCCAGATGTGTTACCCTAGCCAGCCATTTCCAATTGCTTCCTTCCTGCAAATCTCTACGAAAGTCTCATTCAAAGGTTATCTTTTATAAAAACAGGTGATAAATAAAGGCAGCTAGAGCTTGGGGAGCACTCTATCTTGAAGAGCTCATCTATCAAGTTCCCTCTAATTCCCCTCCTTCCTTGCTTCTTCCTCTGCAGAAGACTCTCCTTCTACCACCTGACATGACACCTCTGGAGGTAAATGCCCAGTCCTTGATGAGACTCAAGGCCCTGTCCCCCTAACTTCCCATCCATAGGCATGGACCTTTATGAGTTGTTCACTACTTAAGCCAGATCTACAACCTTTGTGATTGGTCTGGAGTTAGACCCCTGACCCAAGCTGGACAAGTCATATATCCTCCCAAAATAATTGAGAAGTGCAAATTAAAGAGAGCTAGGTAGTCTCTGCTGTGGCTTAGGTATTACATTAAAAACAAAAATGAAGTCATCGAGAGACAATCATACCTCTCCATGTAAAGTAAGAGGTAGAGAAAGCTGAAGGGCAGAGAAAGAAGAATGAAAAATGTATGTGCAGAGAAACAGAGATGGAG